>NC_000013.11:70529318-70680833 GCF_000001405.40 Homo sapiens
ACCTAGTTCTCTTTGTGTGGAACATTCTTTTCCCAGATATCCACATAAGCTAATCTATAGTTTCCTTTGTGTTTCTGCTTTTATTTATTAGGGTGGTGTTGTTTATGCTTTGGTAAGAATGAACCTCCAAATTTTATAGCCTTAGTCTAATAAGGATATTTGACATGTCCAGTCACGTTTTATTTCTAGTACTTATCATCTACTCCATTCTAACTTAAATAGGAATTAAAATACAGGAGAGCAATAAATTAGCATCACTGTTTCTACTGCAATCCTGTTATTGCATCAAATTTCCCATCATTTCCTTTCTCCCACATTTAGAATACTCAACTTATTCCCAATGGAAATAAACAAAAATTCCATCCAGACACCGAATCTGTGGCAAAGCCTGGGATTTAATTGTGGCATGTGGTAAACTCTACATCCAGTCCAGTTGGGTTTCTTATGAACTAAAAAAGAAAAATTTTCTATTTCCTCCATTCCAACTAATGCAGAATTTAGAAATACAAACAGAAATAACAAATATTTGAAAGGGAAATGATTGGAAGATATCCAGCAATTACGCTAGCAATTATGAGAGTTATACCTTTGGAATGTTAAATATGTCTTAACTAGGCATTGATTTTGCTCCCTGGAAGAATTGTCATTTCTAATGTGGCCCTTAGAACTGTCTTCTGGGAGATTATTTTTTTCCTCTGCATTTATCCTGTTTGGTTATATGTATTCTTTGCTTTCCTTGAGAGACACACAGTTTTCTCAGTCCTCTCTCTGCCTTAGAAAAATTGAGGTTAAATTGAAGGAGTAAACCAGTCTTTTTTTTTTTCTGAGCTAATGTTTTTCTTGTAATTCTTTGCCAAATGCCGTCAATAGAAATTGCATTAGTTTGCTATGGCTGCCATAACAAAACAGCACACACTGGGTGGCTTAAACAACAGACATTTAATTTCCAACAGTTGTGGAGCCCGGAAGTCCAGGATCAACAGCAGTTTAGTTTCTCCCTAGGCCTCTCTCCTTGTTTTGCGGGTGGCTGACTTCTCTGTGTCCTCCCATGACCCTTTCTCTGTGAGTGTGCATCTCTTGTGTCTCTTCTTATAAGGACAACAGTCATACTGGATTAGAGCCCCATCCTAAGATGTCATTTAACCTTAGTTATCTCTTTAAAGTCCTTATTTCCACATATAGTCACATCGGGGGTTAGTGCTTCAACATAAATTTTTGGGGGTGGGTCAGCCAGTCACAATTCAGACCATAACAGCAACAAGCATGTGCTATTATCATTGTTCCAAACTATTCCTCTAGAAATACAGTTTTATAGAATACATGATCTGCCTTCCAAGGAACCTCAGAAGAGAATTTACTAAGTATTTCGGACTATGTACATAAATAATTATCTTTTTAACTTCTTATAATTATGAATCTTCATTAACTACTGATTAACCTTTAAGATGTCACCCTATTTTAAGTCACAATTTCTATATTGGTCAGTATAAGCTAGTGCTGCTATGGTAACAAATTGACACACAAATATTAGTGCATTAACACATTAGTGAATTACATACTTAATTTATTTTACATGATAATTGTTATTTGGGAGTTGGAGCCTGACGGGAGTGATGATATCTCAAATACACAGTCATTTGGGAATACACGCTCATGGAGGACCAATCAATTTACAGTCACAAAGTATAAAATATGTATCTCCTTCAGCTGGCATAGCAGAGCAAGGAAGATGTTAAAGCATCATGAGTGACCTTTTAGTACAGCAGCACAGTATAAGCAAGTTACCATAATTTTTACTCATATCTTATTAGCCAAAAATAGTTGTATACCTCAACTAAGGAAAATACAGGATTGTAAATCAATATTGGTAGAGAATTGCTAATAAAAATTATCAGAAACATGGAAATCAAAAAAGAGTACTCCATGTCCTTTCAAAGTGATATTGGACATCGCAGGTTAAGAAGCTCATCTAAGGATTCTTTAATTGCCTAGGATAAATTTTCTGTTATTTCCTATTTGATAGAGATAAACTCAAGTTATGTTACAGGCTAACTTGTAAAGTACTGTTTAGATGAAAAGACGATCCCACAAGTTGTGCTTTATTATCGTAAAGGATATTAACCAAGGTTTGTATCTAGTTTAAAAGTTTTATTCTAACAAGTCTTGTTTTCAATGTGACTATGAAAGATCATATTCTCAAAATACTTTTGGAATCAATGTTACCATCTTCCTTTTCCCTTCTCTAATGAGTAGGTTGAATAAAGGCATTGACACATGTTAATTATATATTTTCTGAAAGTCATATTTTTAACTTTTTTTATCATGTTAATTATAGATTTTCTGAATGTCATATTTTTTACCTTTTTAATCAAAATACATTTACTATTGTTGCTGAAACATTATCTGATCAGAAGTATAGCCCCAATACAAAAAACATTTTATTCTCTCCATAAATCTTTTGTCACTTGACATATCAGAATTTTACTTATTTATAACTAGTCATATTTTACTGTGATAGACAGTAAGCATAATAGTTATATTTTCTAAAATTGTACATCCCTAGATTAGAAGAGTGTCTTCCATATTGTTGGCACTCAATAAAGTTTTGTAGAATTATTTAAGAAAATCATTCTATAACTCAGAAAATAAGCCTATACATTAAGTTTTGCTGCAGGAATTTTTGGTCTAATTTAGCAACTACTAACAGCAGGGCTAAATTTCAATGACGTCTTCTTTAAGACCTGGAAAGTTAAATTTTTGGAAGTAAAGCAAATGAGAACAAATGGTATCCATGTTCAATAGATTACACAGACAAGTGTTCTACAATAATGCTTCATATAACATACACACAGTTCGAAAGCACTCCAAAGTTGATGTCTGAGCATTAGCTTAACTAGTTGGTTGCCCTTTTCAAGTTTTTTCAATGTGTATTTTCATGTTCCATGGTTATTTTTTAAAAAATGCATAAATTGATATTCTCTACTCTTATATATTTCATTGAAGTGTGTCCAGATTTTTAACTAAGAGAACATAAAATTTATTGTAACTGTAAAGAGCTCCTTATATAGTTGGCCTTGACGTGAGGTACTAATTTGTAACTTCCTATCAGCTCTACAAAATGAATTCTATAGAACAATGTTTTACTTACACAAACAGGCAGTCAGCAACTCATTTTTCTAGGTGCCTTAACTTCTCCTTCTGCCACAATACATCTTCATGTTCTACAGGGACACATTTTTTTCTTGCTCTTCCTCAATTATGTCAATGTGCTTTCAAATTCATGCTGACCTGTTTAGAGGCTTGTTTTGAGGATGACACATTTCTTATTTTTGCTGAGAAGAAAGTAAGATGGATCAATATAGCCCTGCATTCAAGATTAATGCAGTCACATGCCAAAAACTGGCTAGCAGTGCAACCCAGCTTTTCAGTAACCACTTATCATGAAACTTGGACACCATAATATTCACATTAATATTTCCAAGCAGCATAATATCCATGGGACCTCATGAATTTAAAATTTGCTCAGCCATTTCATTTAAGGAACTGATATTTGTATTTATTTTCCTCACTTTTCTAATAATTATATTTCATGGCTGACAGAATAACCACCATGATGCTCTATTAGCACAATGATTTCCACTTTCACCTATGGCATCTAAAGTAAATGTTGAAAATTCTAGAAACATTACATTATGTAATGGAATTCCCATAGTTAAAATGAAATTCATTTGAAAGTTCACTATTCAAACACATTGAACCAGTCTATTTTAATTTTTAAGAAAAAAAAGACAATGTATTAGAAAATAATTTACAAAGAGTGACTACTAAATTGAATTTAATTCATATGTAATGACACATATAAAATTAATTTAATAATTATTAAAATTTATAGCATTTATTATATGCAAACATTCTACATAATACTTGGGATAAAAGTCTGAGATTCTTTTCACAGAATATAATATCAGTTATAATCCAAAACGTACCTACCTATCCAGTTTGCTCCCCTACCAATAATCTTATATCCATTCACTTACCTTCCTGTACTACTCTTCAGAGTATGCTAAATATTCTCTGTTCTTTCATATCAAAGAGCTCTGCATAATATTGTTCTCTAAATAGCATGACCTTCCTTTGCATTCCATCTGATTAACATCTATTTGAATTTCAGAACTTAGAATGAGTACTGCTCTTTCTGGAAAACTTTCATTGTGAATCTTCAATAGCTACTGGCTAACCTTTAAGATGGCACCTGATATGGTTTGGCTATGTCCCCAACCAAATCTCATCTTGAATTGTAGTTCCCATAATCTCCACGTGTTGTGGGAGGGACCCAGTGGGAGGTAATTTTATCATGGGGGGTGGTTACTCTCATACTGTTCCTCTGAGAGTGAGTGACTTCTCACAAGATCTGATGGTTTTGTAAGGAGCTTTTCCCTCTTAGGCTCAGAACTTCTTCCTGCTGCCATGAGAAGAAGGATGTGTTTGCTTCCCCTTCCACCATGATTGTAAGTTTCCTGATCCCTCCCTAGCCCTGGTAAAGTGTGAGTCAATTAAACCTCTTTTCTTTATAAATTGCCCAGTCTCAGGTATGTCTTTATTAGCAGCGAGAGAACGGACTAATATATCACCCTATGTTGAGTCACAATTTCTGTTTTGGTTAGTATAGGCTAGTTACACTGTGGTAACAAATTGACACCCATATATTAGTGAGTTTACACCACAAAGATACATACTTAATTTATTTTACTTGTTAATTTTTATTTGGTAGTTGGAGCCTGAAGGGAGTGGCAATATCTCTAATACATAGTCACTCATCAATACAGGCTCATGGAGGAAAGACCAATTTACAACCACACAGTATAAAATATGTATCTTCCTCAGATGACCAGACTATTAGGTATTCTTCCTCTTTGCTTCTTCATCATCATGTACATATCTTTATAATCAATATTATATCACATTTTAATTTGTTTGTCCGATCCTCCCACCCCATTCAGACTCTGCTGTCCTTGAAGGCAGTGACTGTATTTAATTCATCTCTCTAGTTCAATACTTCAAGGACTCCTATTTTTAACTTTTTTAAAGTGGAAAGTAGATATTTACAAGGTTCAGCACAGTTCACTGAAAGGATTCACCAAAATTAATGACAAAGAGCTATAGAACTCTGAAATATTTTCCATCTCATTGGTTAAAAAAGTGTTGCTCACATTTGGTAAAAATACTTTAACCATGGAAATGAGGAACCATTCCTTGGAATGAAATTTAAAGGATGTTTAAATAACAGCAGACGACAGGGAAAAACTGGCGGTGAAGAGTACATAATGTGTAAAAAATGACGTCTTACTTTTGTACTGGAGCCAGACTCTTTTACTATTTTGACCTGGCTTGTGGTAGGAGCCTCCCTCCAGAGCAAAAGGAATTGAATAGCAATAAAA
This sequence comes from Homo sapiens, assembly GCF_000001405.40. NCBI lineage: Eukaryota > Metazoa > Chordata > Mammalia > Primates > Hominidae > Homo > Homo sapiens. Next base: position 70,534,757 of record NC_000013.11, read on the forward strand.
TTGAAAGTTAAAATCTCTTTTTTTTCTTAGCTTTTCTGCTTGTCTGATAAACTAAGTCCTAGAGTTTACTATATTGTCTTGAGATTCATAATTTATATCTGAGAATCAGAGGAACTTTAAAATGCCTGCCACAGCTGAGAGACATTTTAAAATGCTCGAAGAAAGTCCGATTCAATAAACTAAATAATGATTCAAATGATGAATTTTGTTCCTGCCTTTGAAGAAGAAACAAAATACCTACAATGATTTATCTATTACATGACAGTTTCTCTTTTTATGAACACTCATACTATAGAAATTATTAACACTATAGCATTTCAGATAATTTGAATCCCTTAAGCCTATTTTAATTCAAATATAGCCATTTATTAATTTGATAGAAAAAGCATTCATCACTTTTCATGTAAATTATTCTTTTCTTCCCACTAATATAGTCCAAGTACCTCATTATATACGAAGGTTACATTGCCGAGGCTGGGTTTCAGGGAGTGAAAACATTTTCTTCATACTGTGAGGTATGTGAAGTGTCTCTGTGAAAACAGATCATGACTGAATAATAAAAATAATGAGATAAGTGCCGACCAGGATGACCTTAACATTCCCCTCAGCTTGACTAAACTTTAGACAGGTTTCTCCCTGACCATAGGCCACTGATCTCTCTTTTCTAATGGCATTTACTTTAGAAAACTTTCATTGTAAATTTTTTCTCTGTCCCTTTGAGATGTAAATATTTTTCCAGCATCTTGCCATGTTTACACCCCAGGAATATCTTTCTCAAGGAGGTGGGATTCATCTCCTCAAAATGTAATCATCAAGAAAGACAGTGCTCCTATCTCCCAGGCTCTGTGGAAGGATAGGGGCCTACCTTTGATAAGTACTAATCAGCAAACACAGTTGGCCCTCCCCATGAAAACTCCAGTATTTTTCCATTAGCTCACTGCAGGCTTTAAAAATCCTTCTGCCTTTTATTTCTGTGGAGTTGAGGTCACTCCCTCTACCCCATTGTAATAATCTTGAATAAAGTCTACCTTACCTTTTAAATGTGTATAGTGCAATTTTTCTTTCACAGTGATGATATTTAGATTATATCTGCACAACCTATCTTTCAAACACTCAGCTTTCTAGCACAACTATAAATATAAGAATATCCTTTTTTGGCTATTTCACTGAAACACAGGCTAAAATTATACTAATCAATTACATGCTAACACTATGTATATATATGATAAAACCAATATGCTCATTAGTATAAATTATTTCTGCTTCCTTAGAAGAAATACATTTTCCAACTAATGATGATCTGTCTTAGCATTTTTCAACTTTCTGATGGGCTTATTGGGATGTAACCCTATTGTAAGTCATAGAGCCTCAGGACTTATGATGTTTCACCTTATGATTTACTGATTTTACAAAGGGTTTATCCAGGCATTAAGTGCATTTTTTATTTACAATTTTTTTTTAATTTATGATAGGATTTCCAGGACATACTCCCATCAGAAGCTGAAGAGTATCTATATTATAATCTAATATTTTAACACAGTATTTGATAATATTGGACACCATCTGTATTAATCATACTGTAAGTACATAGAAAGAAAATAATAAAAATATTTAAAACGTTACAAAATTAAACCTATCAAATATGCATCAAATATATATGGAAGGGAAGTAATTAACATTTATTTAAAATTTATTAAACCAGGTCCTCTTTTATATTATCTCGTGTAATCTTCTCAATTACACTTCACTTATATAAATTGATATCAAAATGTTTGACAAAATTTAAACATCTTATATAATTTAAGATAGGGTAGGATGTGTTAGCATATTTTAAAATAATCCATAGTCTCATCGGTTCATCACCTTAAATGTTTATTTCTTCTTCACACAGAGGCCTCAGATATATAGTCCTGTGTTTCTAAGACTACTAACAGAAGGAAGGGTAGTGAAGAACCAAGCACTGGCTCCTAAATGCCTCCCGGCAAAAAGGATGGATATCTATCTACTGTGCTTAAATGTTATGGTCCAAATAAACCACATGGCCACATTTAAGTTCAATGATGTGAATAAATTTCATCCCTGCACGTTCCCAGAAGTGGTGAGCCACAATGTCTAACATCCATTTTCATATTTACAGTTACTTGCCTGGAATTAATTACTTTATTTTTAAAATACAGCAATTGAACTAGAAACTTAACATATAACACACATGTAATTTTAAGTTCTAACACAAATTCAGTCTGACTTTCTAAACTCTTAGCTAGATGCCAGAGATAACAATCCTGTATTGATTATCGTGGTTTCACATTTATATTTTTTTCATTTGTTTGATTTGAAAGTAAACATTAAAGAGAAAATTTAAATAGGAACTTAGCATAAGGACTGTTGAATTGGAAACACAAATTTCATATCCTTGGTTATTGTCTTTCCATTTATTTGGCTATTTTAACATTTTGTAGCTCATGACATTTTCCTACAATGAAACCACTGGCTTGTGATAATCTGAAGCTCACTTGTGATATTGGTTATTATAATTCTTTACCATTTGCAATGTTTTCATTTTAGTATTGCTTGAAAATGGAACCTAAGAATAGTAGGTTGCAGATTTCATATTCCCCTTTGTCCTATTTTTCCTATCTATATTATTTATTTATTCCTATCTATATTATTCCTATCTATTTCCTATCTATATTAGCTATTTTGTTGAAATACAAGTCTGTATCATTTCAGTGGTGTATAATTACGAGAAAATTCTATTTTTTATCCAACGTACTTTCATTTTAACTTCTTATGCAGAGATATCCCGAAAGGATATTAATATTCATCCAAAAGAAACTAAAATTACTAAAAGTAAAAAACTAAAAGTATCAGGACTCTGAAAAAACTCTCTAGAATTCACTCTCAAATATTTGCGAATATTTACAAATTGTTTTCTCAAAGAACATAGCCAGATTCTCTGTTGCAAATGAATACATACACCCACACAGTCAAGTCCAAGAGAAAATAGATGTCTCACAGAAAAATTCTCCATGCTACTTTTATAGTTATTTTTAAACTTACAGGTTTTTTTCATCCCCATATTCGCCCTTCCAAAAAGAACTGCAGCTCCCCGTCCCATACCACATCAGCTAGGGGTTTACTCATATCAGTCTTCACTGGTTTTCTGCTTCTGTTTTTCACCTTGGCACTGATGATTCTCTGACCTACAGCAATGTTCACAAGTTTCTAGGTAAATGCATCTTTAGACCTTTATTGCCTTCAAGCAGATGTCCCGGTTCTCCTTCCATTCATGATCAAACCTCCTGAAAGTGCAGTCTACGCACACACTGCCTCATCTTCTTGCCTCTTCCCATGCCATGTCCATTCAATTTAGTTCTTTTCACCAAACTCTAATTAAACCGTATCTTTTTTAAAACCAATATCACTAGCACTCTCTCTAGGACCACTAAATTGTCAAATGCAACGTGTCTTTCACTGCCTACATCCTACCTAGGCAGCCTTGACAATTTGGATCCAGCAATTTAGTTTGTGGCTTTCAAATTTCTAATTTGAAACAACCTCCTAACATTTTCTGCACAGGACATTCTCTCATTGCCAATGTTTTTGGGTTCCCATTGTCAGTCAGTATTTGTTTTATTCTTCTTTTTACACATTTTAGCCCCCAAATTTGTCATAGCGTGTTTTTTTCCTTCTGTCAATATTTATTTATTTTAAATTTTTGTTTGTTTTTTTTTTTGAGTTGGAGTTTCGTTCTTTTGCCCAGGCTGGAGTGCAATGGTGCGATCTCGGCTCACTGCAACCTCCGCCTCCTGGGTTCAAGTGATTCACCTGCCTCAGCCTCATGAGTAGCTGGGAATACAGGTGCACGCCACCACTCCCAGCTAATTTTCTGTATTTTTAGTAGAGACAGGGTTTCACTATGTTGGCCAGGCTGGTCTTGAACTCCTGACCTCAGGTGACCCACCCACTTTGGCCTCCCAAAGTGCTGGGATTACAGGCCTGAGCCACCACGCTCAGCCTTCCTCTGTCAATAATTTAAGATGCCAGGCCAGGCATGGTGGCTCACGCCTGTAATCCCTGCACTTTGGGAGGCTGAGGCAAGGTGGATCACGAGGTCAGGAAATCGAGACCATCCTGGCTTGCACAGTGAAACTCCATCTCTACTAAAAATACAAAAAATTAGCCGGGTATGGTGGCACGCGCCTGTAGCCCCAGCTACTCGGGAGGCTGAGGCAAGAGAATGGTGTGAACCCAGAAGGTGGAGCTTGGAGTGAGCTGAGATTGCACCACTGCACTCCAGCCTGGGCGACAGAGAGAGAATCCGTCAAAAAAAAAAAAAAAAAAAAAAAAGCCAATTTGTCTTATTGCATAGATATTTGTTCATTCTTTCTCATATGCAAAAGTTTAATGTGTTTTTTCTTGTTCTGTTTTCTTCTTCGCTAAAATAATACTATGTTACTACTTAATTATCATCCTTCCAGTAATTATATTCTTCTCAAAATCTTCAATCTTTTTTTGTAATAGTAGGTTTTGTTGTGTTTCTCCTAAATTACAAAATGAAAAGTTCATTCCTCCCAATATATTTTTCAATTTGATATTTGCCATTAGATATAACTAGTGAAAAGCATTCATTTTTAGTCCAAAATGATGTGTTTGTCTAGAAATGCCTCCTACAAATCAGGACATTATCATATAAGACAAAAATGTTCATCTGTCCATACAGAGTCACAACATATATGAGAAATTCTGGTGTTTATCTTGGTCTCCCAAATGTGTTGCCCAGTTACTTTACAGTGTTTTTTAACCCTCTCTGGGCCAGCAGGCTGTCTCATGCTTCCTAGTTCCATGATTCCAAACATAAAGTCTTTAACGTGGGTAACTAAAGTGCACATCCAAGACATTAGTTTATGTGTTTATGGCTTTTTCATTTCTCAGAAGCATTTCTTTCTAGTCCCTTGTCACTTCTCAATCTGGTAAGAGTTTTTAGATGTTACCTTACGGCAGACAGACTAGATTAGGGTACATCTTTATAGCTGTTGTCTTTGGAAGGACCAAATTACATTTTTTTAGAAATATTTTAAGAAAATAAATGATAGGACAAAAGCATTTATGGACATAAAGAAATGCCTTTGAAGAAGCAACAAAATAATTCTACATTTTCAGTCTATTGTTGATAGACTATAAAGAGATTCCTCAGAAGACTAGATATACAAAAATAGTGATGTTTTTAGATACTTTAGAATTCTGGCTATTCTGGCTAGTCTATGATCTGAGTAGCAGAACTTGTGCAAGAGAAAAATCTTAAAGAAAAGTCTAGGTTGGTCTGCAAAAGAATTCTTGAAAAATCATTATATAGCAGCAGAAGATTTCAGGTGTGGATGTGCCTAAAGATTTGGTCAATGCAGATGATAACATTAACATATGATTTGATAATCATATATATTAGTCTTATCTCCAATTGCCCTTGACACTATTCCCCGAAACCTGATATGGTCCAAGCCAAGAGGCCTCCCCACAAAGTAGAACTTATATTTAAAGTAGATAAGATAAGGGTAGGAATTGTGTTTAATTATAGAGGATGAAGAAATCTTCCATGTCCCAGTTTTAGGACAGCTGATATTCCCAGCGTTGGTGTGCAATTTCTCCAAGCAGTTGGTGCTCAAGCTTAGAATGTTTCCTACTCTACCTGAAAGGTCACTCACACCCATTCCCCAAAAGCAAGAAGAAGCAGCTGGGATACAGGATACTCCTAGTGCAAAATCCAGGTGATGTCCCTGCAAAGAATGAACATAAAATGAGATTATCCTATGGTGAACGGTGGGTTCCTATCAGCACCAAGAAATAGAGAGAGACTAAGGACTCTTCCTCAAGCCCTTTGCTCTACACTAGTTAGGTTTCCTTTTGACAGTATTTCATTTTGTATAGAATTATTTTTGACTTTTTTTTTACTTTTCCACTAATTATATTGCTAGGGGAAAATAGATCATTAATAAGAACTCATGTCATAAATTCTGTCAGCCCTAGATTTTAACTGTTAATGTATTGTAGCTGAAAAAATGTTAATCTATGACACTAGTGACCAGAAAACCCAGAGTGACAATAATTAAAATGCTTGGATAATTGCAATATATACGCACTCATACATAAATACTTTAATACACATACACACAACACATTTTGAGCTGCAAGTGCAAAATTTTCCATAAGTCAAAGATATTTATTAAAGGTCACTGAAGGGTATAATTCATCATCAGTCATACAGGACGATTCATTTTCAGTACTTATATAATCACAAATTAAAATATAAGAAGAAATATAATAACCCCAAATCTCCTTTTGTTTCAATAAACTTTTAATTTTAAAATAGCTGTAAATTTCCAGAAAGATTTAGGGAGTACTCCTGTATATTCCTCACCAAGCATACACTGTTGCTTACATAACCATGGTACAATTGTCACAACTAACCAACTTTGACATGTTACTCTCAAGTAAACCCCTGCTTTATTTTTTTATTTCTTTTACTAGCTTTTTACATTCATGTCATTTTTTTTCTATTTCAGGTTTCCTTCTAGGTTACCTTATTGCATTTATTTCACTTAGTCATCATGTCTCTTCAAGCTCTTCTTGCCTGTGACAGTCATTTTTTCTTTTTCATAACCTTGACAATTTTGATGAGGGCGACTCAGATATTTTGTAGAATGTTTCTCAATTTTGGTCTATTTGAGATTTTTCTGATTATATTGGGCTTTAAGTTTTCAGAGAAAAACACCGTTTAGACGAAATGCCCTTCTGATTACATCATATCAGGGTTACATGATACAACATGATTTAACATGGTTGATGTAAATCTTACTCACTGACTTAGGTAGTTTTTGCCAGGTTTCTCCTCTGTGAAATTACTTCCAGCTCCTACTCCACCTTCACCGTCCCACGCCTTTGCATACACTTTTCTTTGGAAGAAAGTAGCTGAGTACAGCCCATGCTGGTGGAGTGGGAGAAGATTTAGCTCCACTACTTGGAAGTGCACTTATGTGAATTATGTGGAACTATTTATCTGTTGTCCCACATTTATTTATTTGATTCTTCATTTATATCAATATAGATTCATAAATATGTATTTTATGCTTTGTGCTATAATCCAGTTCATTATAAATGCTATTCAAAATATATGCTATTTATTTTGTTGCTCAAATTGTTTCAGCTTTGGACATTGGAAGCTCTTTCAGGTTTATAATTATGTCCCTTAGACATGGCTCTGCATTTTTATTTTTTAAACAGTTTTACATTTTTTTTGTGACGAAAAGGTGCCCCAACCTCATATTGTATTTCCTCACCAATCTTTAAATCCAGCCAATCATCCACAGAACCCTTATTATTTTTATAGAGCATAACATTAGAAACCAAGTTCAGGGCATTGTTTGTGTTCATTTCTGCTAGGGTGTATAATTCTTTTTCAAAGCATCTTATCTGATATTTGTATACATGACAGCAAATCATTTTAAAACTAAAACTATGAATGATTTAATAGTAATAAATGTGTATTAGAGGCATTGAAGGTAGAAAGTGAGGTTAAACTATTATTTTTGAAGTGGCCCAAATTCTTATTAATTATCATTTCATTTATGAGTATGCACCATCAAAAAAAAAAAAAAAACTGGACCTGAATCAAAGTTCAAGCCCAGGTTTCTTGTTTTTGAAGGCTACATCATTTGAGTAGCCAAAGAGTTATCGAGGGAATTAGAGATTATCTCTATGAACATTTCTAGTTTATAAAGTGTTAAATGTGGACATGAGAGGTTATATCACACACCCATTGTCATGGGACAGATTATTGAAAAATGAGACTGGATCTTAGGTCATGTAGGTTCCCAGTTAGTTGGCCTTTCACAAAGCAATACAAAATCCCTACAGTATAAATCCCTTTTATAAAATTATAAATGATGTTAACTCTAATGCCTATTTTTTAGGATTGTTTTAAGAAAAAAGGTGAATGAATGTATGAGGATACAAATCAGTGCAAAATAGAAATATAAAAAAATGACATTCCTTATCCTAAAACAATTGTTCCTTACATCCAAAGTGAATGAGAAAATTAAAATATATAGTGTCACAGCTATGTCCCAGAGGGTTTATATGCATCACAACTCCCTAAATAAAGGTGTTATTATGTTCATTTTACAAATATGTAAACGTTAAAACAGAGAGTTTAATTAACATATACAGGATCGCTCACTTTGTAAGCTCTTACAAACTGAATTCAAATATTTTCCCCACTTCAAAACCTTTAATTTTTTCATTACTTCAAGATTCCTTTATACTTCTTTAAGATATTTGGTTTAGAAAGAACTTAATGGAAGTAACCTTTCTACTTTACAATAACCCATATCTTGCTTTTTCACAGACTATGTATCTTATATTGCTTTGTATTACAGTTATTTATGAGCAACTTTCATCTCTTCTTGTCAATTATCTGCTCCTTAAGGGCATTTCTTTGTTACATGCCTTATACATAACATAGAATATACTAAGAATGTGATAAGATTCTTAGTGAACAGTCTTCCCTATGGAAAGAAAAATACTGAAGTTATAATCAAGTGAAATGAAATACAATAAAATAAAAATCCTCTGAATACTTTTTTGCATAGTGAATTGTTCATGAAAAAGTAGAAAATTTCTGATTCACTGAATACTTTAACAAAGAAGGTTTAGATTACTTGAATGCTAATACAATTTTAAAATTGAACTTGACATTATTACTATGCATATTGTTTAAATCAGGGGGATATTATAGCTAACAGCAACTGAAGGCCATATTCAGAGTTTGGTCAAATTATACAAACAGAAAACCTTCAGCTGGGCATCCACTGGGCTCTTTGATACATCAGTTATGTCTTCAAGGGCCTAGGCCCTTGCCTGCTTTCTCTATTCTATTATGGCCTTGACTTTTATCACCAGGTTTCTCATCTAATGTTTGAAAGATCAATGCCTCAGCTCTAAATGTTGGATCTTCTCACATAACAATATTCTGAATAGTAAAAGGTGGTAGTAAGAGAAAACGAGTTTTCTTCTTATAGAAACCTCTTTTTCTGGGAAGAATAATTTTTCTAGAAGTTTCTCATTAGTCTTCCTCTTAGATCTTATTGGTGAAAGCTAGGTTACATGACCACACCTAAATCAACCATTACTGAAAGGAATACGGTTAGTATAATGGGGTCTGCCAATCACAATTCACAACCAAGACAGGATTGTAGTAGCGAAGAAAGGGTTATTGCTCTGATACAGAGATCCCACATCTATATTAGATAAGGGCAACAGCTACTAACAAGAATCAAAGAGGCAAACTAGAGAACTGACTTGAGGATAGAAGACAGCCTCAGACTTAGTTCCAGGATTTGAGGGCTATGATCCAGAGTTCTAATGGGTTTAGTGGTGTTCATCTTTAGAAGGGTGGTAGCAACACCCGAATTCTAGGCAAGATTTTGGTGACCAGGTAGTATAATTGACCTAGGTGAAAGCAAGAATTTAGCCAACAGCTGGATCAAAAAGTTAAAGAATGGTCTGCTACAAAATGAGAGATAATTAAGCAAGGACATCTGTCAAAGTCCTACTCAAGAGGACTCAAACCCATGTCCTGACCAATCACCAACCATATCTAAGAAGAATCCCTTAGCCCACATTGGAAATGGGGCAAGGTACTCCAGCAGCGCAGCTGGAAAACAAGTAGCGAGGTTCTGAAGTCAGAGGCAATGTGGGTTTAATTAAGGCAGAAAACATAAACCACTGTCCTATCCCACTAAGAAGGACAGGATTTCTTAAAATAAAATCTAGACTTGGTTTTCATTTTGCCATGCATGTTGTGAGTTGAGCTGTTAGCCTGAATGGTTCTACCATCTGTGGCAGTACCAGCCAGTACCAGCACATTTTATAAAATGATTACTTTTTGGTGCTAATATGTCTCAGACACTGTACAAATATGTGATTAATCTGTCCCCAAATTTTGTGAGGTAACTTTTATTATTGTCCTTCTTCAACTGAAGAAAATGAGGCCAGGACTTAAAATCCAGACAGTGAAACCTTAAGTGATGAGGACCTAGATTTGACCCCAGTTCTACTGAGTTCTAAAGCCTGTGCTATAACCTAGATGCCACATGCCTTTTATGGCTTGTCAAGTCCTGATTTACACATACCAGTTGCAGTTTCTGTTTCTATTGGAACTTCTTGGGCTCCATTAGTTAGTCCGGTGGCTTAAAAAACAGGCAGGATATGTGTTAGAGGACCATGAAAAGCTATGTAGACAGCTACTGTATTGTCACAGCCAGCAAGCAGTTGACGTCACCCCATTTGGCCTCTTCCCCTCTGAAGATCATCTCCAAAACATGGAAGCTTTGCAGATTTGTGTGAGCAAAAAGAGCAGACTTGACCTGTAGTTTTGAGTGGCACTTAGAATTGTTCACTGGATCCCAAAATGAAATTCTAGAGTTTCAATTAAAGGAGGATCTGCAATATCACATTTAATCAACACGTTTTAATCAGACAGGTTCATTGTTAGGCAGAAAAATATAGGTATCTTAATTTATGGATATCTGTTAGTGCAGCAAAGTATGCATAAAATGTTAAATTGTTTTTCTATATGAATTTTATGAATTTAAATAGTCCCTGGGTACTAGTCTTATACTCCAAATTTGAGACATATACCAGGACAGGAAAAAATTAAAATGCTTAGAGAAAAGATGATTTCAGCTAAAACTAGAGTGGTCAATTTTGCAGAGCAGCATTTTAAACATCAATTTGTGATTTTGTCTGCCAGAAATTCAAATCAGCTGTCCCATTTTATGAAACTGTGAGTCTTAACCTTTTCTCACAGAAAAACATGCCAATTTTTGAACTATGGGCTGAATTAATGAAAATGTAACTACACAAGAAATAATATATTATTAATACATATGCAAAATATTTTATTAATGTTCTAATTATCCATAAATTATTAAATATAAGAAAATAATTCAAACAATAAAAATACCCTAATAGAAAATGCTCATTATTTGCAAAAAAGGTGATACATTCTATTCACATATTTCAGAAGGGAAAGGAAATAACTTTTGTGGATTGTTTATAATTCCCTCAAATAAAAATACATATGGGCTAATCAATGGTATAACTGATTGGTAAATCATTTTACTTGTGATTTTTAGAGATAAGGAGCTTCTTCTCTGGACTTTGAAAGGCCAATAATAATCAGAATAAGAACTGCACATTAAGTAATTCCTATGTGCCAGATGGTTTTTGGAAGGATATGATAAGTTCCCTAAATATGTGACATCTGTGCAGTAATGTAAGAGAGAGTGTTACTTCCACATGATATTAATACTAATATTTTTGTATAAGCATTATGAACAGACTAGCTCCAATATTTGTAATAATATCCTTATAAAAGAAATATTATTACCCAAACCACTTCACAGATTACAAAGCTGACATTTAAAGAAGTTGCAAAATGAGCCCAAGGTAAGTAGAAGAGCAGTGATTTGAAGTAGTTGGGCTCCAGAGTCTATGAATTCAACCATGAAGCCACAAGATATTGCTTGATTTGAAGATGGACTACTGAAGTCCAAGGGTTAGACAGCGATGGGAGAAGCAAATTTAAAGATATAGGCCAAACACAGTGGATTTTCTTGGAGAATCACTTTTGCTAAAACATTTGGGGAGTTTTTATTTTATATTCAGGGAAATGCAGATTTGTCATAATATGAAATGTAAATTTTTGTTGATTTCTAAGCAAAAACAGAGTATTTTAAATAAAATGTAGGCTTCAGCCTCAATATACACCATGGTAACAAAGTAACATTTTACAATTATCAGAATGATTTTAGTAGTTTGTAGGAAGCTCAGGTTCAGGGAATGCTTATGAAATAAGTGTGTGTGCCCTTCTATTATACAATTAAAACCCCAGTTTAACCCCCCATGTGATACTCTTTGGAGGTGGGCCTTTTCGAGATAATTAGGTCATGAGTGTGGAGTCTCCATGAATGGAATTAGTAGCACTCGTATAAGAAGATACCAGAGAGCTACATCGCATTCTTTCTGCCATGTAAGTATACAACTAGAAGCCAGCAGACTGCAACCCAGAAGACAAATCCCAGCAGAGCCCTGTCACTCTGACCCCTTGATCTCAGCCTTCTAGACCCCAGAACTGTGAGAAATAAATTTGTGTTGTTTATAAGCCAGTAAGTCTATGAAAGTTTGTTATAGCAGTCCACACAAACCAAAACAATTCCCAACAAAAACAACTACTTAATGCATATTCCTCTTTTTTTTTTTTTTTTTTTTTTTCTGAGACAGGGTCTTGCTCTCAGGAAGAAATAAAAGGCATCCAAATCAGTAAAGAGGGAGTCAAACTGTCACTGTTTGCTGATGATATGATTGTTTACCTCGAAAACCCTGAATACTCCTCCAGAAAGCTCCTAGAATTGACATAAGAATTCAGCAAAGTTTCTGGATACGAGATTAACGTACACAAATCAGTAGCTCTTCTATACAACAACAGCAACCAAATGGAGAATCAGATCAAGAACTCAACCCTTTTTACAATAGCTGCAAAAAAAAAAGGAATATACCTAACCAAGGAGGCTAAAGACCTCTACAAGGAAACCTAAAAAACACTGCTGAAAGAAATCATAGATGACACAAACAAATGGAAATACATCCCATGATCATGGATGGGTAGAATCAATATTGAGAAAATGACCATAATGTCAAAAGCAATCTACAAATTTAATATAATCCTCATCAAAATACTGCTATCATTCTTGACAGATTTAGAAAAAGCAATTCTAAAATTTATGTTGAACTGAAAAAGAGCCTGAGTAGACAAAGCAAGACTAAGCAAAAAGAACAAATCTAGAGGTATCATATTACCTGATGTCATACTATACTATAAGGCTAAAGTCACCAAAACAGCATGTTACTCATATAAAAATAGGCACATAGGACAGGCACGGTGGTTCACGCCTGTAATCCCAGCACTTTGGGAGGCTAAGGTGGGCAGATTGTGAGGTAAAACCCTATCTCTACTAAAATACAGAAAATTAGGCTGGGAATGGTGGCGCGTGCCTGTATTCCCAGCTACTCGGGAGGCTGAGGCAGGGGAATCACTTGAACCTGGGAGGCTGAGGCAGTGAGCCAAGATCACGCCACTGTGCTCCAGCCTCTGCCAAAGAAAAAAAAAAAAGCACATAGACCAATGGAACAGAATAGAGAACCCAGAAATAAACCCAAATACAGAATAGAGAACCCAGAAATAAACCCAGACACTTATATCCAACTGATCTTTGACAAAGCAAACAAAAACATAAAGTGGGGAAAGGACACCTTTTCAACTAATGGTGCCAAGATAATTGGTAAGCTACATGTAGAATTACGAAACTGGATAATCATCTCTCACCTTATACAAAATGGATTTTTATAATTTAAGATGGATTAAGGGCTTAAATCTAAGACCTGAAACTATAAAAATTCTAGAAGACAACATTGGAAAAACCCTTCTAGACACTGACTGAGCAAAGATTTCATGACAAAGAACCCAAAAGCAAATGCAATAAAACAAAGATAAATAGCGGGGACTTAAATAAAGAGCTTTTACATGGCAAAAGGAACAGTCAGCAGAGTAAACAGATAACCCTCAGAGTGGAAGAAAATCCTCACAATCTATACATCTGACAAAGGACTAATATCCAGAATCTACAACAAATTCAAACAAATCAACAAGAAAATAAAAATCCCATCAGAAAGTGGGCTAAGGATGTGAATAGATAATTCTCAAAAGAAGATATACAAATGGCCAACAGACATATGATAAAAGGCTCAACACCACTAATGATCAGGGAAATGCAAATCAAAGCCAAAATGCAATACTACCTTACTACTGCAAGAATGGCCATAATTAAAAAAATCAAAAAACAGTAGATGTTGGCGTGGATGTGGTGATCAAAGAACACTTCCACACTGCTGGTGGGAATGTAAAGTAGTACAGCCATAGTATGGAAAGCAGTGTGGAGATTCCCTAAAGAACTAAAAGTAGAACTATCATTTGATCCAGCATTCCCACTGCTGGGTATCTACCCAGAAGAAAATAAGTCATTATACACAAAAGATAACTGCACATGCATGTTTATAGTACTACAATTCGCAATTGCAAAATTATGGATCCAAGCTAAATGCCCATTAATCAATAAGTGGATAAAAAAAACTATGGTGTGTGTATATATATATATATATATATATATATATATATAGTGTATATATATATGGTGTATATATATATGGTGTGTATATATATATATGGTGTATATATATATATGGTGTATATATATATATATATAGTCTCCAATATCATCTAGGTCACTGTGAATGCCATTAATTCATTCCTTTTTGTGGCTGAGTAGTATTTCATCATATATATCATATATAGACGTTTTATAAAAATTCAAGACAAGCTATAATTCTAGTTAATTTCTACTACATTGAAGAAGCAGAATCATTTCAAATGAAGTATCTGCAAAATACTCTTCATTAGATCTCCTAATATTCTAAAATCTAGCATATAATATTGAGGGCCTTTTCTCATCACCATGTTTTAAAATATATATACCAATTCTCACTGTGTATTTAATTTCCTATTTTATAAGGATATTGATCTTTCCTGCATTGCATCATTGCGCTTTTAATTCCACAGTAGCATTTTCATAAATTAGAGAGAGACTTTCACTACACATCTGGGGAAACATAATGCTAACATTTAAAAGTCAGGCAACTTTTGCATGAGTTAAGATGAAAATGATCATAGTAAAGAAAAGGATAATAATTGTGTTAATCTTGACACTACTACTACTATAGAGGTAATGTGACTATAAGATTGATGATAGCCCTAAGGTTCACTCATGCACATCACAGGGCCAACACTATGTGTCACTCAGCAATGTGAAGCAACCTGGCCTGGAGGTTTCCAGGAGACAAAACCACCTCAGCAAAGATGCAGTTCTTAGAACCTTTAAAACAATGCTTACCCTTACAGGAATAACTTAAACTCCCTTTTTGAAAGAACTCCTGGTAACTGACCCAGGCTGAACAAGAGTATAAAAAAGGAGGAAGAACTCAAACTCAGAATGGTCTCTAGATGGAGACCCTCCTGGTCAGGTAATCATCTGACTCCCTGACTGTATCTAGCCCATGCCAGCTTGTTCCTTCTATTCGACTTGTAAGACAACTGCCAGAATAAACTGCTTGTACATCAGACTTTGTCTAAGACCCATCTTTGATGCAAATTGGAACCTAGGGGAAAAGTCGCTCCTGGACAAGCTTATATCCTGCAACCATTCCAAACCCCCAAACACAGCATACTACTAGTAATGACAATAGTACTCTACTGCTGCATTCTTCTTCTGAGTATAAAATATAATTTTATGCCAAAATTCCCAGATGGTAAAAATGAAACCAAAACCAAAATGAAAAGGAAAGGAAGGTAGAAAAAGAATAAATAAGGAAAAATAAGAGAGATTAGGATAAAGGCACGGGAAAGAAAGGAAATTGTATCAGTAACAAATTGGGTTTAATAAAACATTTACAGTAACTATTTCGCCTTCATTTGCAGAATTCTACAGATATAATTTCAAATAAGCAGGACAAAGGAAGCAATTTATTTTAAGATTTGAACAATTCTAATACTATAACTGTGCAAGTGTTCAATGCATTTTAGAATGTTTTCAAGTATTTTTTTTTAAATATTCCTAGATTGAGATGGGGATTTGGAGAAAAAAAGTCAATTCCTTTGTTAATACTTTAGTTTAAGCAAATTAGAGGAAAAAGAAAACATAGATCAAAAAAACAAAGCTGTGAATTAGAGGAAATTACCCAGCAAGGTAGACAATAGATACACCAAGGTTCAGTCCCATAATAAGAAAGCTTATACTAGCACCGATATTGTGTAGGATCTATTCACAAACCTTGCTGATGTTCGATGTCTACCACTCTTTTTCTTTTTGCACCTGGGTTTGCACATCTCTCCAGACCTGGGATGAGAAGACTCTGGAAGCAATGTCTGTTTAAAAATTATCTTTCTTATTTTTGTTTCTTTATGTTTAGAGTTGGAGAATCACTGTGAAGCAGAAGCTGCCTTTCCTGAGAAAAATTTCGTATTCTATGTTTACATATGTGTACCTCTGGGATAAAGGTATGTGACAAGTCGTTCTACGATTCAAGCAGCTTAAAAAATCATACATTCCGGCTGAGCGTGGTGGCTCACACCTGTTATCCCAGCACTTTGGGAAGCCGAGGCGGGCAGATCTCGAGGTCAGGAGATCTAGACCATCCTGGCTAACAAGGTGAAACTCCGTCTCTACTAAAAAATGCAAAAAAAAAAAAATTAGTCAGGCGTGGTGGTGGGCGCCTGTAGTCCCAGCTACTTGGGAGGCTGAGGCAGGAGAATGGCATGAACCCAGGAGGCGGAGCTTGCAGTGAGCTGAGATAGCGCCACTGCACTCCAGCCTGGGTGACAGAGCAAGACTCCATCTCAAAATAAATAAATAAATATAAATATAAATATAATCAAACATTCTTTGGCTGTGTTGTGTGGTCTTTTGGGAGGAATACAAAATCATCTTTTAGATTTTGTGCACCTGTAGACACAGCACCAATTCTGGTCCAAGACTTCACCATCTTTCACTGGTGAGTCTCTCTGTATGTAAACTGAAGGCAATGGTTATAAAATCATGTAGTAATATGTTAGGATCTTGTCTACAGGGAGATGGAAGTCTCAAAGCCAAGCATGGTTCTGAAGAGTGCTCACAAAGTTTACTGGTAACTTTTGAAGGATTGGGCCTCAACCATAGGACCTATGCTCTCACTGCTTAAGAGGCTTGAAGTCCACAAGTACCAACCAAACTCTCACATTCCTAAGCTGCATTGAGTTGCATCTACAATGGTGATGCTTAGTACAATAGGGTTGGCAAAACCCAATTCCTCCTTTCTGAATGGCCAACTGAACTCAGATCTCATCTAGCAAATATAACACTGCTAAGCAGAAATTCCAGCATCAAAGATTCATTACAACAAGGGACAGAATCTATGGCTACACTGGAACAGGAATGACATGAGAAAGTTCTTGGTTTTGAACACGATTTATTAATCTGGTAATTCAGTAGCCATTTTTACTTCACTATAACATGTATTAAGATAGACTTGAGCTGTAATAATTTTCCCCTCAAGACATCATGGGAACACAAATTTATAATTGAAAAGGGGTTTGAAGAGATGGTGGGCAAATTGTATGCTCTTCTTGCTATTCTTGGAAGCATGTGATTCAAGCACTGTACTCTAGGGAGACCTCACGTTGTTATTTGTACCTTAACCTTTTTCAGTGAGTTCTCCAGCCCCATACATTTGAAGGCTTATCAAAATAGAGCCAATCCTATGCCTATAATACTAGTTTAAGTAAATTGTAACCAATGATAATCTTTAATTACTGATCAGTCCTGTAATCTAAATTTGCTTTGAAATAACATCTTGAGATTAAAGCATTTTTTTAAATGGAAGTAGTTTGAGAAAATTAATATAAACCTTTAAAGCATTTTTAAAACAAATAATACACATTTGTGCAAATGAATGGAAGAAAGTGATTCATGTTAAATTGTTACTGGTGGAAGAGATCCAAGTTACATGGAGTTACTGGTGGCATATGCATACGGGTCCATTGCAACT
The DNA here is from genome assembly GCF_000001405.40 of Homo sapiens. Classification (NCBI taxonomy): domain Eukaryota; kingdom Metazoa; phylum Chordata; class Mammalia; order Primates; family Hominidae; genus Homo; species Homo sapiens. The sequence continues at coordinate 70,552,508 of NC_000013.11, forward strand.
TCAGTCCTTACCTCATCAGAAGAAAGAATTTGACTGAGGGGCATAAAGTAGGAAAAGAGGCTGAGGCAAGTTTCAGAGCAGGAACAGAAGTTTATTTAAAAAGGCCTTAGAACAGGAAAGAAAGGAAGGTGCACTCGGAAGTTTGGCATGTGAGGGTTAAAGAGAGAAGGTCAAGTGCCCTGTTTAACCATGATCCTAGGACTTTTATAAGCTCGCCTCTTTCCTATGATTCTTCTCTTGGGGTGGGCTGCCCGCATGCGCAGAGCCCTCCTTACCCTTGGGAAGTGAGCACACGCAGTGTGTTTAGGGAGTTATACACACGCCCATCTGAAGTTTTCTTCCTTTTTCTGTTGCGGTATACCCGAAAGATCATGCTTCGCCATTTTTGTCCCTTAATGTACATGCCCAGGAAGATGTTTCTCCCTGGGGTATGCATTCAGTTAACATTTTTAATGTTAACAGGTGTGTACCATCAGGAGACTTTCTCTCCCTGGCTACTGAGTTATCATGTTTAGAGAGGCAATGAGATAATTGCCGAATCATCATCCAGCATTTCTAGTGGGTGGGAGGAGAGCACTCTCCTGCCCTGCTCATGCCTAACTAACTACCTGTAACAAAATGAAATATCAGTACCCCAAGCTTTGCATCTTCCCTTTCAAAGTAATGAAAGCATATGAAAGATGGTCATGTGGGTTCTAGGTTTAGCCATCTCGTGATTAAATATATTTCCTTAAGTAAGTTAAACTTTGGGGGCCTGATATCTACGAATTTGGAGGAGGTGATTTTGCAGATTCCTTTATTCCTTAGGATTCTGTGTTTTTTGTTTTAAAGTCCAGCTTCTTTTTTAGATAGTATATTCATGTGCCAATTTGATAAAGGTGCTAAATAATTTTGCAAGGTTAAAAGGCAATGTAATGTGCATACAAATCACTTGGCTTTGCCATATTATAAGGACATGGGGAATGACCTAATTATATTTTCTGTCATTCCTGCTCTGTGAATATCAGATCAGCAATAATACACAACAGGTTTAATTATTATTTAAATAATTTATATTGCCCTAGATAGTCAATAGGTAAACGTAAACAAATCTTTTACAGGGTAATAATTATTCAAGTGTCTATCCAAACTACCTCAAATAGTTTAGTTTATTCGAGTGGGTAGATTTATGTCTGCTTTGAAATAAAAAATAACTCTTTGAAAAATTATTTTTTCTATTTTATGATGCAAAAGTTGTTAAAAGTTGGTGAGTTAGATAAACACTAAATGACTACCATTACCACTTATTGAAAATTTTCTTTTTAAGGTAACCAATTGCCTGCTAATTTTTATAGCCAAAGGCTAACATTATCTTTTATTAATTATCCTAAAGGACTTCATGCCTTCTAGCAATGCTGACTGACTCTATTTCTGAACATCGTTTTATATACCCTTTGTTGGCCTCAATGCAGCTTTTGTCTCCTTTACTTCTCCAATATCTCTGTCATTTTATCATGATCTCCAATGCTGATATTCTACCTCTGTCTAACTTCATATAAAATTAAATATATCACATTTTATTTATCTGTTCAACAGTTAGTATACATTTGAGTTGTTTTCACTTTTTGGGTATTATGTATTTTTATTCAATGTGTTAATAAACATGTTAGATCAAAAAATTATATATATTCAAGGGATACACATGATGTTTTGATGTGCATGTACTATGGTCAGGCAAATTAACATATCGATTATTTCGTATAGTTACCATTTTTGTGATAAAAGTACCTAACACCTACTCTCTTAGCAAATTGCCAGTATACAATGTAGTGTTTTTGTTTGTTTGTTTTCGGCTGCAGTGTGGTGGTGTGATCTCAGCTCACTGCACCCTTCACTTCCTGGGTTGAAGTGATTCTCATGCTTCAGCCACCTGAGTAGCTGGAATTACAGGCCATTACGCCCAGCAAATTTTGTGTTTTTAGTACAGATGGAGTTTTTCTATGTTGGCCAGGCTGGTCTTGAACTCTTGGTCTCTTGTGATCCACCCACCTTGGCCTCCCAAAGTGCTGGGATTACAGGCATGAGCTACTGTGCCCTGCCACAATGCAGTGTTATTGATGACAGACTTCATACTGTACACTAGAACTCTAGATCTACTCATTCTACATAACTGTAACTTTGTGGCCTTTAACCTCCATCTCTTCATTTCTTCTCCACCACTCACAGACCCTGGTAACCACTGTTGTACCCTGTTCCTATGTATTCAAGTTTTGTTTTGTTTGTTTATTTTGGGTTTGTTTTGTTTTATTTATTTTTTTAATTCCACGTATAAATGAGATCATGCAATATTTGTTTTTCTGTGCCTAGATTATTTCACTTAGCATAATGTCCTCTAGGTTCATCTATGTTGTCAAAAATGACAGGATCTCCTTTTAAAAGGCTGAAAGTATTCCATTGTATATGTATATCACCATTTTTTTTAACCATTCCTCTGCTAGTGGATACAGATTTTTCCCCATAGCTCAGATATTATGAATAATACTGCAATGAACATAAAGGTGCAGATATGTTTACAAGGTGATAATTTCATTTTCTTGGGTATATACCCATAAGTGAGATAGCTGAATTATATGGCAGTGTTATTTCTAATTGTTTAAGGAAACTTTATATTGTTTTCCACAATGGCTGCAACAGTCTACATTGCCACCAAGTGTGCAAAGGACAAATTTTATCTATTTTCTCACACCCTTGCTAATACTTATCTCGCTGTGGTTTTGATGTGTATTTCCCTGATGATTACTGATTTAGAGTACCGTTTAACACAACTGTTGGATATGTTTTATGCTTTCCTTGGAAAATGCTTATTTAGGTCATTTGTCCATTTTGTGATTGTGTTTTTGCTTTTGAGTTATGAGTTTCTTATATATTTTAGATATTATATCCTTATTTGATATGTGGTTCACATATAGTTTTCTCCAAATCTGTTGGCTTTTCAGTTTGTTGAATATTTCCTTTGCTGTGAAGAAGCTTTCTAGTGTGACATAGTTCCAGTTATTTATTTATTTATTTTGCTTTTATTGCCTGTGCTTTTGGTGAGATATCTGTAAAATCATGGCCAATATCAATACCAGGGATCTTTTCCCCTATGTATGATAGAAGGTTATGGTTTCAAGTCTTACATTAAGTTCTTTAATTCATTTGCTTCTTTTGAAGCAAAATGTATGGTATAGGGGTCCAGTTTTATTATTTTGCATTTAGGTGTTCAGTTTTCCTAACCCTGAAAGATATGGTCCTTTCTCCAATGTGCCTTCTTTGTGACCTTGTAAAAAATTACTGTTTGAGTTTACTTCTGGGTTCTCTACTCTGTTTCAATGGTCTGTGTGCCTGTTTTTATTACTATTGCTTTTAATAATTTGATGTCTCCAACTTTGTTTTTTTTTTTTTTCTCAAGATGGTTTTGGCTATTCATTATTTTCTCTGGGATGTAGGGTTAATGTTTTATAGGCAAAGCATTCAATGTGATGTATCACACTAAAGAAATGTAATATAAAAAACACATGATCTTTTTTTTCTTTTTTATTATACTTTAAGTTTTAGGGTACATGTGCACAACGTGCAGGTTAGTTACATATGTATACATGTGCCGTGTTGGTGTGCTGTACCCAGTAACTCATCATTTAACATTAGGTATATCTCCAAATGCTATCCCTCCTCCCTCCCCCCACCTCACAACAGGCCCCGGTGTCTGATGTTCTGCTTCCTGTGTCCATATGTTCTCATTGTTCAGTTCCCACCTATGAGTGAGAATATGCGGTGTTTGGTTTTTTGTCCTTGGGATAGTTTGCTGAGAATGATGGTTTCCATCTTCGTCCATGTCCCTACAAAGGACATGAACTCATCATTTTTTATGGCTGCATAGTATTCCATGGTGTATATGTGCCACATTTTCTTAATCCAGTCTATCATTGTTGGACATTTGGGTTGGTTCCAAGTCTTTGCTATTGTGAATAGTGCCGCAATAAACATACGTGTGCATGTGTCTTCTAAATAGATGCAGGAAAAAACATTGTACAGAGGTCAACATCTTTTCGTGATAAAAACTCTCAACAAATTAGGTATAGAACAGTATTTTCTCAACACGAAAGTGGTCATTTATTAAAAGCCCATAGTTAATATCATAATCAATGGGGAAAAATGAAAATTTATCCTCTAAGAGCTGGTACAAGGTAAAAATGCCCACTTTCACCATTTGTATTTAACACAGTACTTCCAGTACTAACAAAAACAATCAGACACGAAAAAGAAATAAAATGATCCAAATCAGAAGAAAGAAGTAAAGTTATACCTGTTTGCAGATGGCAGAGATCCTATATGTAAAAAACCTAAATACTTCACTAAAGAGCTGTTAGAACTATGGACTCTGTAAAGTTATGGGGGACAACATACAAAAATAATTATTTCTTCACATAAATAATAATCTATGTGAAAAATAAATCAAGAAAACAATTCCATTTATAATGCCATCAAAAAGTAAGTACTTAGGAATAAATTTGACAAAGGAAGTGAAATATCTGTTCACTAAAAACAATAAACATTGATGGAAGGAATTGAAGAAGACACAAATCAATGGAAAGAGATTCCATGTGTGTGAACTGGAAGAATTAATTGCTAAAATATTCCAAAGCAATTTACAGATTAATTGCAATCACTATCAAATTTCCAATGCTATTTGTGGTAGAAATAGGAAACAAAAATGCCTCTTCCTTTAAGCTGAGATTTTCCACTCCTCTGTTTTCCCTTTATTTTTTCTCCACGGATGATGTCATCTATTCCCATTGTTATGATTAATATCTTGAGCTTCAAATTTTCTTTCCAAATTTTATTTCCATATAGGATCAAGTGATCCTATTTACTTAAATATATAGGGACTTCAAACTGAAATCAAAAGCCAAACTTTTTTTCTCACAGGTAAGCATTTGCTTCAATTTATAATTTCTTTTGTAATAGAGTGATCACACCCCTGTCTGCTAAACTGGAAAATTTGGCACCATTTTAGACTCTCCATTCACTCCCTGCTATTTTGCACTGTCTATTATCAAATCTGTCTGATCTACCTCAGTTAGAGTTTTCAAATTTCTCAGTCCTTACTTATTTATATCTTGGTCCCTATTTATTAGGCCTTCATTGTCCTTCATCATCTCACATTTACAATCTTGCAGTGATTGTAGCCTCCTAAGATTTTTTCTGGTGATCCTTTCTCAACTGAGCCGCTATTCACATAGCCACCAGCATGGGTAATGCTTTATCTTTTAATTATTTTCATTATCTCCAGGTTAATATCAAATCCCATTAATGTGGAGAACAGCAATGCTTATAATCTAAACTCAGATAAACTCTTTATCATAAACTTTTGCCCTATCACCATCCTGTCTTTAATTTACAATTCATGGAATCACCCCATGACACTGAACTTCTCATCATCCCCACAAAATTCCCAATTACTTCATGATTTTTGACCTACCGTTGCTGAGCTTGACCCAGCTTAAATATGTCCTTCTAAATGATACCTTTTATGACTCTACCAGGAACATTAAGAAGGTATTGGAAAATTGTACATATTCCCTCTGGGGAAGTCACAAATGTGAACCCAAGGTGAGATGAAAGCCAAAGACAATAATTTGTGTTCATACAGGAGACTGTACTCACATAGTCATTTTTCTCTGCTTGTTTTGAATAAGCTTCCCATGTGGACCTGAAATGGAGAAAAAAATGGGTTTAGGTAAAAGGAGACCTTTCAACTGCAGATGGGTATATGCAATGGATTCATCAGACATTACTTGGGATGGACAGATATGGAGGATTTGCTTCTTCATGTTGCCTGTTAATGTGCATTATTGTACCCTATTGAGCTTGAAAGGATCGTATGAGCTGCGTGTATCTTTATAATTAATGTGGCTATTATGTATATTCCTAATTTAAAAAGAAAAATATAATTCACTTTGCACATATATTTCCTTTGTTAAAATAATCAGAAAACTTTAAAAATATTGGTTCAGTTAGTATTTATAATGAATAAATGTGTGTATGAAATTTTCTTATTGATGGAAAATATTAATTAGCTAGTTAAGTTTATTGGCTTTTGTTTAATATTCAGCTCAAGGCACAATACAGGTGAATTGAATGTGTAATGTTATTGGTCAATTATGTTATATTTGAATTATTCATAACCCAAGTACTAATGCCCTCATTCTATAGCACGTATCCATGGGGGAACAAGGTTTTCACATACATATTTGGTCAGTTTACATTATTAGCTGAATATCATGAATTCTGTTATAGGTGCCAGAATAGAAATCACCATGGAAAATATGCTTAATGGTTATCCTGCAGATGTTGCATTATGAAACTATACTCATGCTATTAATCTTCTGAAGCCTATTACCATTCCTACAGACAAGACCATCAATACACTAATGTTGTTAATTGCCTAATTTCAGTAGTCTTGAAAACAGAGGTTAGAAGCAGTCTTGATTAAAAACCCCCAACAACAACAACAACAACAACAACAACAAACTGAAAATAACCCTGATGAATAGTTGTAAATCATAAAACAAAGAAACTCTAAAACCTTTATAAAGACAGCCTTCTGATAGTATACACTGAACTATCATTAATTCTGGGTATATCATTGTAAATAAACTTCAGAAATTGTACTTAGTTCCTAAATCAATGTGTTTAAAATTATAATATTTTATTCCTCAAAACAATTTAAATATCTCTGTAATATTTTGTTTCTTATCAGTCCTATCTGAATTATATATTGCTATAGAATTCTGCACACATCCATATGCATTTATACATATATAGCCATATATAGATAGAGATATATATTTTGCTCTGTGCCTATGAAAATGGAAATGCATAGTTCATGGAGAAAACAGAAGCCAGGAGATAGAACAGGCCACTTTTCTAATTGTCTTTTTGTTGGCAGAAGAAAATAATTATATTACAAATATGAAATAAAGTTACTGATCTTGATATTAGAATGCCCAACTCTTTTTCTGAGTTTTCCTCTATTGTTTCCATCTTTCACTCTGCACCTTTAAATGTAACTTTTTACTTTCAAAAATCAACCTAGATCCAGGGTCCTGAAATAATTCTTTTTTCTGACAAAGAATGATGGACAGATATGTGTTCTCTCAATTTCAATATGATATCCAAAATACTATGTGGGTAGTATAAACACAAATAATTCTACATTTGTATCTGTTATCTGAACAGAAGGACATGTTCTCTTCAACTCCTGCATATTCAATTGTTCCTTTCTGCAATATATCAAAGTTCAGATGAACCAATTACGATCTGGCCCCTCGTCATTGCCTTTACCACACCTTTTGCAAAAACTCTTAAGCCATACTTATCACTTACCCTCCTCTGCTTCTTCCCTTGTGCCTTTTTGTTTTTGTTTTTTTGTTTGTTTCTACTGGAAACACCCTTCTCAGTTTTGACTATCTAAAATTCTACTTCTCATACAGGTGCCAACTTAGCCGCCAAATCCTTTTGTCAGCTTATTTTTGATCCTCTACAGTCATTTCGCCTATTTGTTTTAAAGCACCATTGAATTTTTCATATGCAACAAGGCACTTGCTTATTCACTTTGCTAACACTTTTAGCCATGAGCTTGGCTATGGCTTGAATATTGTTTGGCCCCACAAAAATTCATATTAAAATTTGATTACCAATGTGGTAGTGTTGGGAGGTAGGGCCTCATGGGAGGTGTTTGGGTCATGAAGCAGATCCCTCTTGAATAGATTAATGCCTTCCAGAGTGGGTGAATAAGTTCTTGCTTTCACAGAAAACAAGAGGATTGGTTCCAAAGAAGGTTCCAAGAGGATTGGAACCAAAGGATTGGTTCCCTCCAGTGTAGGTTGTTAAAAAGGCTTCCTTGGTTTTCTTTCTTGCTTTCTTTCTCACCATGTGATCTCTTTGCACTCACTCACTGTCCTGCTTTCCACCATGAGTGCAAGCAGCATGAGGCCCTCACCAGATATAGGTGCCCAATCTTGGACTTGCTAGCCACCAGAATCATAAGCCAAATAAACCTCTTTTCTTTATAAATTACCCAATCTCAGGTATTCCATTACAGCAACGTGAAACAAAGACAAGCTCCTGAAAAAAAGAGACTCTAACAGCATATACTTTGTTGTGTTTCAACAGTGTTTGGCACTAGTTGTGAATCACAGAAATTACCCAAGATATAGCTGCTGAATGAATTAATGGAAGAGTAAATTGAAGAACAAATGAAGATCAACATAGGAAACAATTGTGTTTGTGTTACATATGCTAAATTAATTGAATAGTGTCAGCAATAATCATGTGATTTCAATATATTTACTGAAAAATAGCACAACACAAGCAATGAGAAAAATTGGAAAAATTTACCAGGTTTTTTTTCTTAAAATTGCCATCTTTAATATTGGATTATATTAAATGTTTATTAAATGTTTACAGAACAGCAGAGTGTTCAATTTGGGAGAAAATAGAACAAAACAAAAGCATATGCAATTATCTCTCTTAGATCTATCTATAAATCAAATGAGCCTTTCTGAATTTGACTACATTAATAATTTATTTTGTTACATGGAGCTATACACCTGCTCTAGTTTGTATTGTTGCACTGAAGATTAGTATTTAGTATTAGGTAATATATGTCACTTTAGGACATATGCATTAGGTAATATATGTCACTTTGGGAGAGAAATAATGGATCTAGAAAAAAATGATTAGAAAATCTAGCATTGTCTTGCAGAAACATACACCTTTCATGAAATTTTTTAAGTTGGTTATCTGAGCTAGGGGTATGGCCATTCAATCACGGTAGACAATGACATCAAATGACCTTACAAAAGTTTAATTTGCTTTCATGGTGTTTGCAATTTTATATTTAAAATGTTTTTTAACACATTGGTATACATATTTTTCTTTAAAAATTATTCATAAAATTTTACATTAAGGTTTTATTCTATTTGTCAGTTCTGGCCACATTCTTATAAAAATACCAAGAGAAGACTCTGAAAACACTTGTTTTAATGACAAAAAATTGATCATGGGGGCAGGCTATCTCAAGATGCTTTTCTTTACCACACATTTTTCTAAAACAAATCAACCTCAAGTGACCTTACCTGGAATCCTGTGATCTTGTTTCAAATTTAATGCTTGAGAATAAATGCTTTAATATTTTATATCAATAAAGGTAAGTCAGCTTCTTCTTGGAATTTTATTTAATGTCAGTAATATTGTCTCCATCTAAGTATACAAACACCTTTCCTCTTGCAAGTAGAACTTAATGTACCATCATCAAGCCCAAGGGAAAATTAACCACTTTGAAGAAAACTAAAGCTAGAAAAAACATTTTTATATACACACTTCTAAAAATCACTCATAAGCAAATTCTCACCCTTTGAGAGATGTATACAAACAATAGGTAGCAAAATGTTCTAATAAAATATTAAAAACTTTACTGGGCCCATTTCAATGGCTTCTTAGAAGCCAAGACCCTGATCCAGTAGTACTTTCTTTGCAAATGCAGGATCAAAAGGTCAGCAAATCTAAGAGTTAAATGGCTTTTGTTTTACTGTTCCACAGAGACAGCTCTCATTTAATTTATGTCACTATGGATCTTAAAATCCTAAACCGTTTTTTATAGGAAAGCCTCTGGTATGGTACCCAGATCAGTGAGAGACAGGAAGTCAAAGGGTAAAAAGTCCAAGTGTGAGTTTGCTTAGAAGATAATCTACTGCACGCCAAGGAAGGTAATGGGCCTTGACTTGGTGTGCTATATAATAAGATTAGGAACAAAAAAGGTAGGCAGGCTTTCCTTTCTCCAGTTATTGATAGCACGTGCTTGTAAAAGTAACCAAAACAATAGTAAAATATATTAATTCATAAAGATAAGTGTTTTTTTCCCTGATTTTTCTGATTCTGTTGTATCATGTGTAGACTATATGAAACTTTAAGATAGTATTTATTTATTGATGAGGTGCAAGTTCTATGCACTAAATATGCTGTGTGTCAATGAGTCAACAAGTGACTTGAGTCTAAGTTTTTGGTCTGCAATTCATTCAATATGAAATCCAATATGAATTCAGGTGTGTCATTTAACCTCCCCAAATCCAGTATGAAAAATACTATGTAATACTCAAAAATCTAAGGCTAGCAACCTTCTGATTGGTGCAGATAAAATGGCCTGTGATCTTATTACTTTAACAGATAACTTTTAACATCTTTTTATTTAGCTCTTTATATTCTTCTCTTTTCTTTCCATGGCCATCTCCTTCAGTTGCCTCTTCTGACATATCCCAGGAAGTTGCTAGATTTTTTATGCCTTTTCTGAATTCTACAATATGATTGGGCTGACTCTAGGACAGATAGGATTTCTGTTTTGATCTAGGATTCATGTATCATGCTAAGGGCAGGGAAGGAAGTGAGAAACATTATTAAGGACCGAGGCCTAATGAGGGGTGAGAAAGGGTAGATAGTGAACAAGGGGTGTTGGGGGGAGGGTATTTATTCCATTATCCATCCGGAGTTTAAAAATAGCAATCAAATCATCTAAAAGCTAGACTGCTTTGTATTATCACTATGGCTTGGTAGTTTCAAGCAATGTTAGTAATAAATCACTCCTTTTCCAGAAAAATCTTTTGTTTTTCTAAATTGTTAATAATTGTCTGGTCTGTATTACCCAGAGATTGCCTGGCATTAGGTTTTGTTAGATGTTCCTTACCTCAAATGTGAAAGGTGGGGAAAACATTTAATCTTCAAAGATGAGGATTTTTTATATGAAAGTACATGTAAAAAGAATTAATCAGCAGTTTCAAACAATGTTAATATTAAATCACTCCTTTTCTAGAAAAATCTTTTGTTTTATCTAAATTGTTAATAATTGTCTGGTCTGTACTACCCAGAGATTGCCTGGCATTAGGTTTTGTTAGATATTCCTTACCTCAAATGTGAAAGGTGGGGAAAATACTTAATCTTCAAAGATGAGGATTTCTTATATGAAAGTACATGTGAAAAGAATTAATCAGCTAGATAACCATCAAGAAAAGACTATCATTTCAGATTTGAATTAATTAATATTATAATAAATATGGACTGCTTATTTAATAACAGCTTGTATGAAATATATAAATACCATTAAGTTTACTTTTTTCTGTTCTTTATTGTTCACGAAATGCAACAAAAGCAAAAGGAGATGGTAACAAGATCAATGTTTTGATCCTACTCTTTTATAGTACATATAACTACCTAATTTAATCCCTAAATAGAAATAGATGCTTAGGTATTACTGAAATATTTTGGAACAAATCATGAGCCTGATCCTTAATAAATTTTAATTAAATGTTACATTTTGTGATCATTATAGATTCACATGCAGATATAAAATTAATATACAGAGTGAACTCATGTATGCTTTACCCAGTTTCTGTTAAAGATAACATCTTGCAAAACTTAGTATAATATTACAACCAGGATGTTGGTATTGATTCAAGCAGCCAAACTTTTTAAGATTTCCCAAGCCTTACTTGTACTTATTTTTATGTCTTCTCTTTATCCACAGAAATACATGACATGGCATTTTCTAAAACAAGTGAATAAGAAATATATTAGCATGAAATGCACAGATATTCACTGAGCACTTGTTTCCAAGTAGAAAGGTATAGACAGAGTCAGGTTTCCCGGTACAATTTGGCAGTCAAGGTAATTCCTCAAGCAGATCAGACAGCTGTTTCCCTTTGCAAGATTTCTTAAATTTCAGTATATTTCCCACAGAATCTTTCCAAGTTTTTGCTGAAGTTAGCATTCTTTTCATTCATATAGTTGATATCTGCACAGTCATTGTAAGGACATCTCTGATTACATTTGTATCATTTTCCAATTTGCTTCTCTAAGCTGTTCTCATTATGAATAGCATGCGTGTGTGTGTGTACATTTAGTTCTGTGCATTTTTATCAAGTTTAGGTTCATGTATGTGTAGCCAACACCACATTCGATATACAGAACTGTTCTGTCACCAGGAGGATCCACATTCTGCCCTTTTATAAACATTCCCCATCCCACCCACTTCCTTAAGCCTAATAACCACTGATCTATTCTCCATTACTATAATATTATCATGAATGGAATAATACTGTATTCAATCTATTAAGACTGGCTTTTTTCACTCAGCACAATTTTTTAAAAATTCAACCAAGTTGTTGCCTGAATAATAGCTTGTTCATTTTTATTATTGAGTATTATTTCATGATTCTTTTATTACTTTTTAAATATCCCTTTTTTGTACCAGACCACTCATGAAACCATATTTTTAAATGTCTGCACTAAGATTTAAAGTGGTCAGAAAAAAAATGTTTAGTGCTTCAAAATGTAGACTTTTCAATAATGTTGTGAGCAAGCCCCCCAAAATCTGGCCATAAACTGGCCCCAAGACTGGCCATAAATAAAATCTCTGCAGCACTGTGACATGTTCATAATGGCCCTAATGCCCATGCTGGAAGGTTGTGGGTTTACGGGAAAGAAGGCAAGGAACACCTGGCCCGCCCAGGGCGGAAACCACTTAAAGGCATTCTTAAGCCACAAACAATAGCATAAGCGATTTATGCCTTAACGGCATGTTCCTGCTGCAGTTAATTAGCCCAACCTATTTCTTTAATTCAGCTCATCCCTTCGTTTCCCTTAAGGGATACTTTTAGTTAATTTAATATCTATAGAAACAATGCTAATGACTGGTTTGCTGTTAATACATGTGTAGGTAAATCTCTGTTCAGAGCTCTCAGCTCTGAGGGCTGTGAGACCCCTGATTTTCCACTTTACACCTCTATATTTCTGTGTGTGTGTGTCTTTAATTCCTCTATCGCTGCTGAGTTAGGATCCCCCCAACCTAGCTGGTCTCAGCACAATAATATTAATTATAGTAAATACTTCTGGAGTATGCATTATTGCTAGGCATTATTCTAAGCCCTTGTATATATTGTCTTCTTTAACCCTGATTATAATCCTAAAATAAAAACTATTGCCATCCTCATTTCGACAATGAAGGAAAAAAACATAAGTGTTAAGAAACCTGACTTGGAGAATACAGCTACAAAGTGATCAATATTTACACCCAGGCAGTTAGACTCCAGAGTCTGTACCTCCAACAGGAGCAGAAAATTTGAGAACTTGGATTTAACATATACAATTAACCTCTTCTCTTTTTCACATCTACTTTGATATTTAAATTTTGTATCTTTGTATTCTTTCAATAAGGCACAAGTTTATTAAACCCTACTATGTGCCATATATTGTATTCAGTGCTATGAAATTACAAATTAAATGTGTAATTGATATTTTAATAAGTATATTGCAAAAAGTTTTATAATTATAATTAGGGAGAAAATATTATGAAAATAAATGATTTTTGGAAGATACGGGCCAACAACTTTTGAGAATATATAACCATTGAACAAGATTTTGAAAAATTGATGGAACTTCAGAAGTGTTCCTGATTTCAAGAATGAGAGAAAAAAAATTATTGGAGGTCATATATGAATATGACATGACAGGATTATTTAGTAATTTTCTGTGGCTAAAGCTCAGAATGCTTAAGGGAGGTAGTTTTTGAAAATCTGAAGTGATAAACTGAGATAAAGAATCCTGTTTTTTTAATTCAAAATTGCTTGGAATATCTTGAATGCAATAAGAAAGCATCATTTTTTTAACAACGAAGCTCATCTGCCTGCTCTTTATATGAAAACTTCCATTATAGTTGTACCTATAGAAAGCTGACCACAATCTATTCCAAAAAGCTACTGCTTAAAAGAATGTTATGTTACCTGAAATAACAAAGAAAAAATAGAGCTATCTATGGAGAATCCAAGAATTCCTATAGGTATAGAGATGTATTCTGGTAATGCCTGAGTTATCCAGCAACAATTTAGGAACTATTTGTTACATTGTATTTTTTGAATATGAAAATGTAGCCATACAACTTTTCTTGTAACAGGTAAATTTTAAGGCATGGAATTATTTCGGACAGGTTTTAAATAAGAATAACAAATTTCTGTTTCTACAGGAGCTTAAGAGTTATTAACAATGCAAAAAAAGAATGCTCACTCATAACAATTTGTACACTTTCTCTCGTTTTTCTTGCCACTTTTCTTGATCTACTTTTATTTTTCATCTTTGAGAGAGACACAAGGACAGAAAAAGATTGCACAATTATAGTAAAGCACAACAGCACTATGTGGTAATTAATGATAACTGACATTTAAGATCATTTTTTTTAGGAATCCAATAGGTAATTATACAAACTTTGAGGAACTGGACATACACACTCAGTCTAAATAGCTCAGCCACCGCTCAGCTCTAAGCTGATTGCTGCCCAGCAGATATACAGACTTAGTTTTTTCCCTAGGTAATATTTTAGAGAACAGAGAGGAATAATAACGATTACATTTTTTAAATACATATATTTAAAAATGAACTTAAGTAAGCCCAATGGTTTGAACTTTAGGCCACTCATTCAAGTTTTGAAATGGCCACAGGGCATTACTGCAGAAACTGAAATAAACTTTGTGCTGTCTTGAAAGTATCTGAAGGTAGTGACAGAAGAATGCCAAAATAGAATAAAGGAAAATAAAATAAGAATTATATATGATTAATATTGCCAAGTTTTAGTTACTTTTATTCCACATTTACGCAATAAAAACTAACTTAATCAAAACCCATCTCATTTTAACTTGATCATTGTGTGCAATATTTCTGCCAAGCCCTCAGTGAGCGAGCTACCAAAACAAAAACATTTAAAATGTAATATTATATTTTAATATACATTGCTTTCCTGAAGGTTTCTTCAGAAATGAAGAACAATGTCTATTAATGATAAAAGCATGTTTTTTTCACTTGTTAATTTGAGATAAAATAAATTTAGACACATTCTTATTAAAATTCAAGCACAATATTTATCAGGAGAGTCACACAAATATATAAATTATTTTTATTTGTTGAATCATATACTGCTAAACCCTCAAAATAATCCTAATTTTTAATCACATCATGCCACAACTTTTATTTTAGTTGACCTTTGGCTGAAGTGGTTAGGTTTGTGAATATGCTTGTCTATGGAAAAGATGAAAAAAATTAAAATCCATGATGAAAATGCTAAAGATGCTATTCTATTAAAGTATTTAATAGACGAGCAAAGGAATAAAAATAATCCTTTACTCTAGAATGTATTAGGAATCCTAAAATAACAAAAAAGATTTTTTGTTATACATTTTATTTTATTCTTGAAAATAATATAAATAAACATTTTAAGGAATTTTTACTGGCAAATGAAAAAATACCTCTCATTAAGATTAGATTTCACATTACACAAGAATTTCAAACATTTAAAATTCTGTATGAACATATCTGTGAAACAATTAAAATTAATGTGGAGCTAATGGATTACGAATTTTAGGTCATGTGTCAAATTGAGAAATAATTCAAAGAGAGTGGAAGAGTTAAAAAATATGAAATTCATTTTTAGCGTTGACAATGTTCTACCAGGAAAAGTTAGCCTGACTCTTACTTTCTTTTCCATAGCGTGTCTTGCCTGTGTACCTACAAAGCCACACTTGTGTGTTGTGTGCAATACGAAAATGCCACAAGGTCAATCATATTCTTTGAAAGTAAGACTCCAATATTTTTGTGGTGTTGGATATTGAAACAATAATAGAACATTAAAAGAATTCCAAACTTCTTATCATGTACATGCTGAAGTAGTAGGTTTCACACAGCAGATGTTTTTCTTTCATTTTATGAATAATTGTATTATACATGGTACAATATAATACATGTACATTATACATGTACATAGTATAAAGAATATATAGAATATGTAAATATAGTATTTACATATAGAAAAATGTATTATATATTTTTCTACAATTATTTGAAAATAAGAAATTTAACAAATGTTTCCCTAACCTTTTAATCTTCCTGAGAGTTTGTTTCATTTTCTTAAATTTAGATGGGTGAGAATTATTTCTTCTATTATTTACTGTTTTATAATCCTAGCAACCCTCAGGTCCCAATAGCCTCAGTCCTATGCACAGAATAAAGCTGTATTAGTAAAGAATTGAGAAATTATTTGGATGTGGAAAAAGGACTGAAAAAAGCAAAAACTTAAAACTGCCAAGCACATATGCCTTGCCTACTGATAATATTGAAAGTATTAGTCAGTCTTCTACCACCATCTGGTGGTAATCTGTGGTATGAGCCAAAGAAGATAATTCTGGTGTTAAGGTACAAATAAATTTCAATTTACAAGCATATTTTAAATGGATTATTTAACTTGATGATTATGGAAATGTTAGATTTTTCTACCTCAAATGTTATTCTTATTTTTAAGTTTCAGAAAGTGGGACAAAAGATGTTCTTATTTTTGGGAGGTTTAACCGACAGTAATATATATTGGATAAACTAATAGCATTCACATTGTCCAAATAATAATTGTTTTTTCAATTCATTTGAAACATATCTAAGTTAATAAACTCTGTATGATTGGGAAATCATTTATTAAGGTAAAGGCTCTCTTAAAATAAGGTGTGTTTGTTTGATTTGTTTTATTGTTATTATGAGAGTTTTGAAACATAATACAATAGGCTACTAACTAAATATATGTAGAATATATAGTAAAATTTAACATGAAGAAAATACTGCTTTTAATTTATTATTAACCTTCTCTAGTGGGGCGTCATTTATAACAAATGGATTGTAAATATTATGCAGCAGTCATATGATAATAGCATCTTATTGTCTGATTCCTTGCAACTCTAAGTCAAACAAGAGTTGAG
This sequence comes from Homo sapiens, assembly GCF_000001405.40. Taxonomy (NCBI): domain Eukaryota; kingdom Metazoa; phylum Chordata; class Mammalia; order Primates; family Hominidae; genus Homo; species Homo sapiens. The sequence continues at coordinate 70,569,367 of NC_000013.11, forward strand.
AAAACATAAATATAAAATTCAAACTTCTCAATGGTATTTTTTTAGCTGTAAAAGATCTTCTCCCTTTGCTCCTCACTGGTCAGCTTCCCAGGTAACAATTTTTCTTGAGAAAATGTGTATAGATCATAAAGGGAGAGAGGAGAGGCATGAATAACCTACTTTTTTTGTTTAGTGTTTTCAGAGTCTTCACTGGCCTCTCTGACATGGTTTGTCTGTGTCTCCACCCAAATATCATCTTGACTTGTAGCTCCCGTAATCCCCAAATGTCATGGGAGAGACCGGTGGGAGATAATTGAATCATGGGGGCGATTTCTCCCATATTGTTCTCATGGTAGTGAATAAGTCTCATGAAATCTGCTGGTTTTATAAATGGAAGTATCCCTGCACAAGCTCTCTTGCAGACTGCCATGGAAGATGTGACTTTGCTCCTCATTCGCCTTTCACAGTGATTGTGAAGCCTCCCCACCCATGTGGAACTGTAAGTCAATTAAACTGTTTTCCTATATAAATTACCCAGTGTTGGGTATGTCTTTATTAGCAGCATGGTAACAGACTAATACAATAAATTGGTACCTGTAAAGTGGGGTGCTGCTGTAAAGATACCCAAAAATGTGGAGGCAACTTTGGAACTGGGTAACAGGCAGAGGTTGGAGCAGTTTGGAGGGCTCAGAAGAAGACAGAAAAATGTGGGAAATTTTGGAACTCCCAAGAGATGTGTTGAATGGCTTAGACCAAAATGCTGATAATGATATGGACAATGAAATCCGGGTTGAAGTGGTCTCAGACGGAGATGAGGAACTTGTTGGAAACTGGAGCAAAGGTGACTCTTGTTATGCTTCAGCAAAAAGACTTCTGACATTTTGTCGCTGCCCTAGAGACTTATGGAAATTAGAACTTGAGAGAGTTGATTTAGGGCATCTGGCAAAAGAAATTTCTAAGCAGCAAAGCATTCAAAATGTGACTTGGGTGCTATTAAAAGTACTCAGTTATATATATTCCCAAATATATGGTTTGGAATTGTAACTTATGTTTACAAGGGAAGTAGAGCATAAAGTTAAAAAAATTTGCAGCCTGATGATGCGATATAAAAGAAAAACCCATTTTCTGAGGAGAAATTCAACCAGACTGCATAAATCTGCATAAGTAGCAAGGAGCCTAATGATAATCACCAAGACAATGGGGAAAATGTCTCCAGGGCATGTCAGAGACCTTCATACCAGGCCCTCTCTTCACAGACCAAGAGGCCTAGGAGAAAAAAAAAGGTTTAGCGGACACATTCCAGGGTCTCCCTGCTCTGTGCAGCCTAAGGACTTGGTGCCTGCATCTCAGCTGCTTCAGCCATAGCTAATAGGGGCCGAGATACAGCTCAGGCCATGGCTTCAAAGGGTGTGAGCCCCAAGCCTTGTCAGCTTCCATATGGTATTGAGCCTGAAGGTGCACAGAAGTCAAGAACTGAGGTTAGGGAACCTCCACCTAGATTTCAGAGGATGTATGGAAACACCTGGATGTCTAGGCAGAAGTTTGCTGCAGGGGCAGGGCCCTAGTGGAAAACCTCTCCTAGGGCAGTGCAGAAGGGAAATGTGGGGTTGGAGCTTCCACACAGAGTCCCCACTAGGGCACTGCCTAGTGGAGCTGTGAGAAGAGAGCCACTGTCCTCCAGACCCCAGAATGGTAGATTCACTGACAGCTTGCACCGTGTGCCTGGAAAAGCCACAGACACTCAATGCCAGCCAGTGAAATCAGCCAGGAGGGGAACTGTGCCCTGCAAAGCCACAGGGGCAGAGCTGCCCAAGGCCATGGCAGCCCCTCTCTTGCATCAGTGTGCCTTGGATGTGAGACATAGTGTAAAAGGAGATCATTTTAGAGATTTAAGATTTGACTGCCCCACTGGAATTCAGACTTTTATGGGGCCTGTAGCCCCTTCGTTTTGGCCAATCTATTTCGGTATTGACTCAATGCCTTACCCCCATTGTATCTAGGAAGTAACTAACTTGCTTTTCACTTTACAGGCTTATAGGCAGAAGGGACTTGCGCTGTCTCAGAAGAGACTTTGGACTGTGAACTTTTGAGTTAATGATGAAATGGGTTATGACTTTGGAGGACTGGTGGAAAGACATAATTGGTTTTGAAATGTAAGGACATGATATTTTGGGGAAGCCAGGGGCAAAATGACATGGTTTGGCTATGTCCCCACCCAAATCACATCTTGAATTGTAGCTCCCATAATGCCTATGTATCATGGGAGGGACCTGGGGGTAGATAATTGAATCATGGGAGAAGTTTCCTCCCATACTATTCTTGTGGTAGTGAATAAGTCTCACAAGATCTGATGGTTTTATAAATGGGAGTTCCCCTGAACAAGCTCTCTTTTCTGCCACCATGTAAGACGTGACTTTGCTATTCATTCGCATTCTGTCATGATTGTGAGGCTTCCCCAGCCATGTGGAACTGTGAGTCAATCAAACCTCTTTTCTTTATAAATCACTCAGTCTTAATTATGTCTTTATTAGCAGTGTGAGAACAGACTAATACACTCTGCTAAGATATGCTTCATGCAACTATATAAGTATGTGTTCTGTGCTAATATGATAAAAGGCAACAGCTTTTGCCTAACATGGGGGCATTGTGATGGGAACTGCTACTGAAATCTGCCACCCCAAATGGAGTCATTATTCATGAGGTTTCCCAAATTTGATTCTCATTATCTCCAATCTTAGGCCATTCCATCGAAGATTCTTTCTGCACTCTGAGTTTCCTCTGCAAATCACATAGGAAGTTCTGGATCATCTGAGTGTTAATCTTAGGCTGTTGAGGATGTAAAATTATCACTCAGGATCATTTTTAGAGACATTATCTATGAATATGCCAGTTCTGAACTCCTGACAGATGACAAGTTGGACAACACTGAAGATGTGCTTCATAGCCCAGTGGAATGAGAATAAGTGGAGCGCTATCAAAAAGTCATACTTGTGTTGGTCTCTTTCTGGATTCTCTTCTGGTCCATTCATCTATGTGCCTATCTCTCTGTTTGCAAATATACAATTTTTGTTGACTGTAGATTTAATACTAAATGTTCTTAAAATTGTGTAATGCTTATTTTCAAACATTGTTGTATTTCAAAATTATTGTCACTAATAATTTTGTCTAATTCCTTTTCTTTTCCTTATATATTTTAGATTCTGTTTCTGTATGTCTACAAAACTTCGTGGGATTTTGGGATTTTCACATATATTGCATTAAGACTAAAGATTGGTTTGGGCAGAACTGACATCTTTACTGTGTTGAATTTTCCATAGTATTTATCTCTGTTTATATAAGCCTTCTGTAATATTCAAAATATTTTATTTTATATTTTTGGAGTTATAAATGGTATTTTATTTTATTATTTATTCATTTATTTATTTTGAGACAGACTCACTCTGTCGCCCAGGCTGGAGTGCTGTGGTGTGATCTCGGCTCACTGTAGCCTTGACTTCCTGGGCTCTAGCTATCCTCCCACATCTGACACCCAAATAGCTAGGACCACAGGCGCTCACCCCCATGCCCAGCTAACTTTTTTTTTTTTTTTGTAGAGATGGAGTTTCATCATGTTGCCCAGGGCTCAAGCAATGTGTCCACCTCAGCCTCCCAATATGCTGGGATTATAATAGGTATGAGCCACTGTTTCTGGCCAATAAATGGTACTTTTAAAAGTATGGTTTCCAATTGTTTATTGCTTGAATATGGAAGTATGATTAATTTTAGTATGATCACATTGTATTTGGTAGCTTTACTAAAGTTACTTATCATGTCTAGGAAAGTTTTTGTATATTCCTGGGATTTCTCTATAAAAAAGAATGTCATTTGTTAATGGGAGTAATTTTATCTCTACTTTGCAAACTTTACTTTTTTAATTTCTTTTTCTTGTCTATTGTTTTGACTAAGATTTAGAGTCTTATGATAAATAGGAGTAGTGAGACTGGATAGTATCAGCTTGTTCCTGATCTAGAAAAAGCATTCTCTCATTCACTATTAAAATGGTATTTGCAGTAAGTATGCTGCAGATGCCAATTACTGAGTTAAATAAGTTTCTTTCTTTTTAAACTTGAATGCTTAGAGTTTTTACAATAAGTGGGTGTTTAATTTTGTCAAATGTTTTATCTACATTTATTGATACAATTATGTTTTATTTTCTTTAAATTATTAACATGGTGAATTACACAGATTAATTTTTGTAAATTGAGCCAATGTTACATTATTGCAAGAACTCCACTTGGCCATGATGTATTCTGTCATTATTTGCTTTGCATATTTTGAAGTTCAGTTATTGGTGCACACATAGTTAGGATCATCATAATCTTCTTCGTGAAATGACCATTTTATCAATAGGTAATATTCTTCTTTATCCCTGCGCATTTATATTATTAACTCTGAAGTCCACTTTAACTGATGTTAATATACTCACTCTATTTTTCTTTTAATTAATACTTGCTTGATATATCTTCTTCTATCTTTATTTTATAACATATTATATCTGAAATTATTTTTTGTAGAAAACATATAGTTGGGTCATTTTTAAAAGTCTAATCTGACAGTATGTTGTATTTAGAACACATATTTAATGTAATTACTTAAATATTTGGATATAGATCTATCATTTCATCATATGTTTTCTGTGTGTTCATTTGTTTGTGTTTCCCCTCTTTGAAGGCTCCACCCAGCTTTTGGATTATTTGAATGTTTTAGGATTCTATGCTAATTGATCTATCATGATTTTGAAAATATCTCTGTTTATATATTTTAATGGCTGTTCTAGTGATTAAATAGTAATAGTTAACTCCCCAATATCTAACTGCACTTAGTAGTTTACAACTTCTTTTTTGAATGTGGAAACCTTACTGCAGCAATAGAGATTTTCCTCTACCCCATCTATGCTATAACATTTTATGTAATACATCTACATTTATTGAAATATTGATACTCATTCAATAATACTACTTTTTTTGCCTTAAACCATAAAACTTTTTAAAAACTCAAGAGGAGAATAATCTGTTATATTTGTATAGATATTTACTGTTCTGCTGCTCTTCTTTTATTTCTAATATTTTTTGTTTCTTCTGGTATAACTTGTGTTCTTTTTGAAGAACATAATTTAGCAATTTCTTTTAGTGTAGGTATAATGCCTACAATTATTTTACAGTTTGTCATAGTTTCTTTTGTGTTGCTAAAACAGAATACCACAGACTGAGTAATTTATAATGAACAGACATTTATTTGGCTCACAGTTCTGGAGGCTGTAAAGTCTAAGAGCCTGGCACCAGCATCTGGCAAGGGCCTTTGTGCTACATTATCCCATGGCCGAAGGGCACGGGAGTATGAGAGCAAGAAGTGTCAAAACCTGCTTTTATAAGAAAGCCACTCTCACAATAACTAACCCATTTCCACCATAACAAAATTAATGCATTCATGAGGTCAGAGCTCTCATGGCATAAGCACTTCTTATCAGGACACACCTCTCACCACTGTTGCATTGGAAATTAAGTTTCTGGCACATGAACTTTGGATGACATTCACACCATTGTAGGTTTCATTCATCTAAGAATGCATTTCTCTCTTCTTGAAGAATATTGTCACAGGACGGCAATCTTGGAGGAGCAAAGACACAGCAAGAAATGACAGGGTTATGAAGAAAATTGAGGATGGTAGTCAAGATGATAGAAGAAAAAAAACTAAAAAAAATAGGATCAATTATTCACAGTTCATGGGAAGTTTCCATTTGAATTCACTAATAATGGAGCAGGATACAAGTAGGTCTCCATGGAATAAGCAAAGAGATAGTGAACAAAATCTATGTGGGAATGCTAGAGAGGCAATCTGATGGAAGTATATAGTGCAGTTTAAACTGTGTGGAAAATTCTCCTTTTGGGCCACCTCAGTGAGAAGAAAAAGGAATTATTAGTAAAATTGCGTTTATTGAGCCAAGAAGAAGCCACTATGATAATGTTTCTAGAATCCATTTATATTATAGTATAAACATTTGATATTACCAATAAAGAACTTCTTATTTATTAACTGCTCAAAAAATAACTGCAACTATTGTTATTGTGTGTTTATCTTATTTATGTAATAAGGTACAATTTTCCTTTGAAATATTGTATTTTGAAATTAAATAACTGAATTTCCTTTGTAATTAAGTTATTAAGAGCAGCTTACGTTTATAAAGACAGTGTTCACTAAAACTCTGTGTGAAAACAAGGAGAGAAATCATAAATCTTACTGCAAGCTTGGTAGATAAAGCTGTAACTATGATCTAAAAGCTAAAATATTTTGTTTTAGAAGTGGGTTATCATAGCATGAAATAATATTAAGCATTTAGGGAATGCTGATAAAAATACATAAAAATGTTAAATATAGATTATTTTGAGTTCTGGGGAAAATATTGGTTTCATAAATTCTTTTCTGCTTTTGTGACTTTCCTACATATTTTTTCAATGAACATTTGCTATCTATAAAATTGGACAAATCTATTTGTTAAAGATCAGATGGAAGGTATTACTATAAGCAAGGGTTTTTAGATGCATTATCAACATTCTTTTTAGGGTAGAGGACTTATTGTTCCAATTTTATAAATAAACAAACTGAATGCCATAGAAGATAATTTGTCAAAGGATAGACTAAGGATCAGAATTGTGATACTTACTTTTCCAACAGTGCTCTACTGGGTTACTCCTATTGGGGTATAATCTCGGGTAGAATCAACTAAAAAGCTGTCCATAAAACTTTCTGGAAATGCCACTTCAGGAAGATGAAGATGAACCATTCTCTATTATTTCTACTAAGTACAACCAAAAATCCTAGACACTATATACAACAAAAACATAAGAAAACTTTTAAAAAAGGAGAGTTTGAAGAATGGTATGGTGGTGAATTTCTGAGTTTTCTCTTTTCCCATATATCCCAGACTTAAAACAAGGAGTGAGCAAGCTGGAAAAAACCAAAGGCACAAGCAAAAATAGTCTTAATAAAGACCTCCTCTCTCTAGCCAAAGGAACAGGAAAGGAGCAACCTGGAAACACAGAAAACTTCTAGACAGTAACTCTCCATACTGTAGCAGAAAAACCCACAGGAATGAAATATGGGATACCACTACAGACCTTGCAGATACTAAAAGTATAGTGGGATACTTTGAATAAATCTGCATAGTTAAATTGGACAGCTTTGATAAAACTATTCCTAAAAAAAAAAAAATTCCACAACTCACTCACTTTGAAATAGATAACATGAATAGCCTTATAACAATTAAAGAAAATAAATTTATCATTTAATACCACCCACCTCCTCCTGCTCCCCCTAAAAAAACCCTCTAGTCCAAATGTTGTTAAAGAAACACAACAATTATACACAATGTTTCTGAAAAATTAGAAGTGAAAATAAAGCTTCAAAATCTATCATATAAAGCTAGTATTACTCTGATATCAAAGTCAGACAAAGGGAATACACAAAAATTAAACTATTGACCAATATGCCCTCTTGAATGTAGGAGAAAAATCCTTAATAAAATATTAGCCATAAAATAAACCAACATATAGAAAGAATTATACCTCTTGAGCAAATAGGATTTATTTTAGTCATCAAAGTCTGGTTCAACATTTGAAAATCAATAAATACTATTGACCATGTTAACAAGTAAAAGAGGAAATGGATGGTCACACTAATTGATGCAGAAGAAAATTTGTTTTCAAGATTAAACACCTATTCGTAATGCAAAATAACAACAAAAAATACATACACACAACACTAAATGAAACAAAAATACCTCTTAGAAAAATAGAAAGAGAGAGGAACTTACCCAACTCGATAAAAGAGCATGTAATATACAGAAATACGAACACCCTACCCTTTGCTTAATTGTGAAAGACTAAATGATTTTCTTCTAAGATGGGTATAGGGCAAAGTTGTCATCTCCCACTATAATTATTCAATATAGTGCTGAAAGTTCTAGCCAGTGCAATAAGAAATATGGAAATAAAAGGGATACAAATTAGAAAAAAAAAACATATAAGACTATTTGCTCATAACATGATTTTCTACATAGACGTTCCTGATTATGTAAAACACACAAACAGAACTTCCTAGAACTAATAAGTTAGTCGAGCACGATTGTAAGATATAAGACAAATATGTAAAAAGCTATCATAAATATCTAAATGTAAGAAATAAAATTATAAAACTCTTAGAAGAAAAACTTGGGGAAAAACCTTCAGAACATTAAATTTGGCAATTATTTCTTAGAGATGACTCCAAAAACATAAGCAACAAGGCAAAAAGAAATAGACATACTGGACTTCATTAAAATTACCAGCTTAAAAGACACCATCAGTAGAGTAAAAAGGCAACCAACAGAACGAGTGAAAGTATTTGCAAATTGCATGCTTGATAAGTGATTAATATGTAGAATATATGAAAACCCCAAAACTCCGCAACAGAAGCACACATCCCAATTAAAAAATGGTCACAGAACGGGAATAGACATTTATCTGTAGAATACATAAAGATGGCCAATATGTACATGAAAAAAATCACTAGTAATTAGGGAAATGTAAATCAAAACTATGATGAGATATCATTTTACACACATTAAAATGGCTATTATTTTAAATAAAAACAGAAAATAACAAGTGCTGGTGAGAATGTGGAGAAATTGGAAGCTTCGTGCATTGTTGGTGGGAAGGAAAAATGGTGCAGCCAGTGTTGAACACACTTTAATGGTTCCTCAGAAAACTAAAATTATAATTAGCATGTGACTCAGTAGTTCATTTCTATGTATATACACAAGATAATTCAAAACAAGGACTCAAACAGATACTTATAGGCCACAGTTCATTGCAAAATTATTCACAGCAGGCAAAAGATGGAAACAACTCCTGTTTCCATCAATAGATGAATGAAAACCAAAATGTAGTATATACATACAATGGGGTATTATTCAGCCATAAACAGGAATGAAGTTCTCATACATGCTACAATTGGGATGAACTTTGGAAACATCCTAAGTAAAATAATCCAGACACAAAAAGACACATATTGTTTAATTCCAATTATATGAAGTAAGGATCCAGAGTAGGCAAATTTATAGAGACAAAATAAATTAAAGATTACCATTGGCTGTAGAGAAGAATTGGGAATTGTCTTTTAATGATTACAAGGCTTCTGTTTGTGATGATGAAGAAGTTTTGCAAATAGCTAATGAAAATGTTTGTTAACATTGTAAATCCAATTAATGCTACTCAATTGTATATCTAAATGGTTAACATGGCAAATTTTATAATATATTATGTATATATAATACAAAATTAAAATTCAGTTTGTATTTCTATATGCCATCAGTAAACGTGGAGACTGAAATTTAAAATGCAATAGTATTTACAATAATTAAACAAATTAAATACTTAATATGCACATCTAACAAAACACATACAGGAATTTTATTTAGAAAACTTAGAAGATCAATGAAAGAAATCAAAGATTAGCTAAATAAATGAAGAGACAAATAGTGTACATGGATTAGAAGAGTCAGCCTAATAAAGATATCAGTTTTCCCCAAGTTGATATGCAAGTTTAATGCAAGTCTTATCAAAATCCCAGGAAGATTAATTTTTGTACATAAATATGCAATAGGCAAACATACTATAGACAAGATTATTCTAAAACTTGTATAGAAAGGCAAAGAAACCAGAAATGGTAAAAATAATTTAAAAAAAGAAAAATAAAGTGGGAGGAATAATCTACTCAATCGACTTGTTTTATTAGGAGGTGAGACACATAGATCAATGGAACACAATTAAGAAACAAGAAATAGACCTGTACAAATATGCCTGATTTATTTTTGACAAAAGAACAATAACAACTCCATAAAGAAAATATGGCCTTTCAACAAATTTTACTTAAAAATTAGATATCCATAGCCAAATTAAAGAAAAAATTATGTCTTGTGCAAAAGTTAACTCAAAATGAGTTATGTCCATTAGTTATGAGGTGAAACCATACATTATAAATGAAAAATTAAAAATATAAACGTTTCAGAAAGAAGTATAAGAGAATAATATGTGGACCTATGTTTAGGCAAAAAATGTAATTAGACTTGATACTAAGCATAATTCATAAATAAAAAAATTTAATATACATTTTGCTTAATCAAAAAAAACCTTTTGCTCTAAGAAAGACCCTATTAAGAGCCACATCTTGGAAAAAATGTTTGCAAATCATATATTCAACAAAATGTTAGTATCTGGAATAAATAAACAACCCTCAAAATTCATGAGTTAAAAAAAAATGAAAATCTGATTAGAAAATGGGCAAAAGAGACAAAGAGACATTTCACTGAAATGTCAAATAAGGACAAATAAACACATGAAGATCCTCATCATTTCCCATTAGGGCAATGCAAATAAACCACAATGAGATATTAGCACACACCTATGAGAAGGGGTATAATTAAAAATGGATGATATTAATAAATACTAGAGAAATGAAAAGCAAATGGATCATTTATATGCTGATGGTGGGAATGTATATTAGTACAGTTATAGTGGACGATTGGCAGTTTCTCATAAAACTGAATATGCAACTACCATATAATTCGGCTATAACATTCTTAAACATTTATCCCAAAGAAATCAAGCCTTATGTTGACACAAAACATGTACATGATTGTATATAGCAGCTTTATTCACAATAGTCAATAACCAGAAACTACCTAGATGTTTGTACATGGGTGAATGACTAAACAAACTGTAGTAGATCCGTATCATGGAACACTATTCAGCAATGTGAAGCAGTCACCCATTGGTACATATAAAAACCTGGATGAATCCCCAGAGGATTATGCTTAGTGAAAAAAAAAACCAATACCAAAAGGTTACATAGTGCATGATTCCATTAACGTAGCATTTATTGTTTAAATGACTAAATTATAGACATAGAGAAAAGATGAGTGGTTGTCTGGGTTTAAGGAAGGAATGGAGATGGGAAATTGGCATGGTTATAAACAGACAAAATGAGGGATCCTTGTGGTGATGGAAATATTCTTTATCTTTATTTTTTCACTGTCAATTTCCTGATTGTAATATTGTCCTATAATTTTATAATATCTCACTTATGAGGGAAATTGGGCAACTGCAGGTACACAGATCATACTGCCAAAAGAATCAAATTTAATCTTTCAATTTAATCTTTAAAATTTAAAATTTATCCCATAATTCAATGTTCACTTGAACACCCAAATATCACTTTAGACTTAAACCATACTGCCATTGAAATTTGTCATGAAATTGTTTCTCTCAGATACTTGACGAAGTTTTAAACAAAACGTGAAATCTGTTTAAGTAAAATGGTTACTTAACAACAACAGCAACAACAAAAACCCTACCCTTCTCTACTAAATTGCTCTATAAGTGGTCAGGAACAAAAACAATGCTCAATTCTCCAGCACCATTTTTTGTTGTTGTTATTGTTGTAATCTACCCAAGTCCACTGTTTTCCCTATTTCTGTTGTTATCCCCTCTATCTTTGTATTAGTAGCTCTTCTGGACCTGTTGTTTCTGTCATCACTCCTTGTCTTGTGAACCTGCTGTTGTGCCAGAAATGTTATTCTTACTTATGCAATCAGTGCTTTGCAATGATTAAGCCATATGACAATGTCCAATCTTTGCCATTTCAAGTAACTACACATCCCCACCCACATCTGATCTCAGGGATGTGATTCTCATATCAAACATCTAGGAGAAAACTAAGCCAGACCTGATCCAATTAGTCTTTGGGAAACTCAGGTTTCTCTTCCTCTGTGAAATTTCTACTGAACACCCCAGGGAGAAGCATGATCTCTTTCACTTTAAAATCGATACGCTAAGTTTTTGTAGCTTTCACTTGGTAAATGATTAACTTTCTTATAACTTTCTTAAAATCAGGATGTTATTTATATAAATTTATACAGAAACATATATAAAAGAGATCACTTTCCATATGATCTCTGAAATTTTTTACTTAAGATTAAACCTTATATTTCTTTTTATATCTTACAGTACTTTGCACATAAGCATTAAATCAAATATTTAATTATTTACTACTATTTCTCAGAGAACTTAAATACATTCTAAGTAAGATACCACAAACAACACCAACCAGGTGCTTGAAGTCTTCCTTTTCTTTTTCTTTTCTTTCTTTTTTTTTTTTTTTTGACAGTCTTGCTCTTTTGCCCAGGCTGGAGTGCAGTGGTGTGATCTTGGCTCACGGCAGTCTAGACCTCCTGGGATCAAGCGATCCTCCTGCCTCACCCTCCCGAGTAGCTGGGACCACAGATTCATGCCACCATGCCTGGCTTTCTTGCTTATTTGTTTATTTATTTTTCTAGAGACATAGTATCCCCATGTTGATCAGGCTGTTCTCAAACTCCTGGCCTCAAGAGATCCTATCCTCTCGGCCTCACAAAGTGTTGGGATTATAGGCAAGTGCCACCATGCATGGCCCTTCTTAACATATTTTTTTAAACAAATTCAATCCATTCTGAACACTCTTGAAGATATAAAATATAGTATAAATATAAGATAGCCTCTCTTTAACACTAGAAATATAGCTGCGTCTTCATCTTTGATAAAACACACATTCAAAGTTAGTGCTTTTTAATTCTATGATATTTTTATATACCAAAATGGAATAATTGCTTTAAATAATATAGGTAAAATAAAACAAAGGATACAGTATGAAAGATTCATTAAAAATACTATAAAAATACTAATCATTTTTGTTAGGGTGAAATACACTTCTTCCATTAATACTACCTTAAATTGGATTAGAATAGGAAACATTCAGTAGAACAAGGAAGGTCTTCATTTACACGAAAGAATAATTTATAATTATTTGTTAACAATAGCTTGCACTGTTTTTTTTTGTTTTTTTTAATTCAGCCATGAACGTGTTATGGAACATGTTATGAACTCAGAAAATGTTCCCCCCTGTGAAGCTGGTCAGGTCTACGTAGTGAAATTTCACATAGGCTCTTAATTTGGGGCATTATTAATATTTCTTTAAGGCACAGGTTTTTACATAAAATGGACTACAGTAGTAAATAATTAATATTATTTTCTAATCCAAATTTATTGAGAATTTCAAAGAATCTTAAAGAAAAATCATCTATACAATAGTTGGACTTGAAACAGTTTCAGTGAAAGTACAGAATTAATTTAAATCCTAGGTGAATTTTCTGTTTTCTTCCTTCCTTCCTCTCTTCTTTCCTTCTTTCCTCCCTATGCATCCCCCCACTTTCTTTTTTCCAAAAAACAGTTAAGAACTTAGACAATAACACACTATTTTATGTTTTTTCATCTTTATTTTCAGGTACTCTGCTTATAATTACTATTAATTTTATGTAGTTAAGCTAATATAATATAAAATGTCACCTACTGAATAAATCAAGTTAATATTGTAATTGATTTTTCTGGATTGCTTGTGATTACTTACTTTCAACAGAGGCTGGTTTTGTACTTACATTTACTTTCTCATTTTCACATTATTGATTGCAATTGCTGCAAAAAATGGAATTGTTGTGTCTATTGTTTTATGGTATTAATTAATTTTATTTACTCATGGATTACATTTTGAGTAATTACATTATGACAAAGTAACACTAATGTAAATAAATTACTTTATTTGAATACACTACTATTGGTATTTATAAGTAAACCTCTCATTCCATAAAAAATCTTTGTGATTAGAACAAAATCAATACCATAATTTTTCACTCTTTCCTACACACCACAAGACACAGTAATCCTTGTTTACATAGCTGTTAATCAGTGTCAAATTGAAGAACAATTTTTAAAAATATCCAGCAGGGGATGATCCTAGACCTCATATTTAACACTTTAATCAGTGGCCTAAGCATTTTGCTTAGTGTCAAATGACCCTCACAATTGTACATTACAGGAAGGGCATTTTCAGAAGTTTTTAAAATATGTGCATAAAATGGTAATAAGCAGCAAACTAAGGAATAACAAAATCAGAACTATGTAACTCCATAAGGAAACCTGACTGTGAAAATAGCAGAAAGAGAGAATTTAGCAACATGCAAGTACAACAGTAAAATGTCAAGAATCTCAATGTTTATTAATCAAAAGCATACTATTGTATTAATAGGTAAGAAGGGAATGGTGATATGGGCATGAATAAATAGTGAGATAAAAATTAGGAATCTTTAGCTAGTTTTACAATAATAGGCATTTATTTTATTCAAGAGTAAATAAACTCTATAGATAACTATATAAATAAATTCCAAAACAGTTCTAGAAAACATGCTCTAGACACCACTTAGAATCAAAGAAAGGTAAAAGCTGAAAGACCTAAATGAAAGACTATAAGGAGCGAATTTCCCTTTCAAGTATAGGAAAATTGTATGTTAGCTATGTTGCATTTAAGTTTAGAGACGAATTGAACTACTAAAAGTGTAGAATACAATTAATATTGCACTTAAGTTTTTCAGGAAATGTAATGTTTTCTACATTGCACTGGGTTACAGGGGAATGGCTTTAAAGGTCTTTGCCTGGAGAATACTAAAATTAAAATGAATTTTCCACTTCTGATAATGACAATCTTTGCGATTGAGTTTAACCACCATGATAAAAACAATAAAGGAGCTAGAACAGAACATACACACACACACACACACACACACACACACACACACACACACACACACACGGACATTTTCTTCCTTTTGCCGTAGCTATAGCGGACATTCAAGGGCCTGGAGCATGAGCCGCTGCCCCAGGAGCCCTGCCTGCCCCGACACCCAGCCCAGCTTGCCAATGGCGGACTCAAACGCCGCTGACTGCCACCCACACGCCCTCCCCAGACCACCGTGTTCAGTTTGTATTTTCGATTGAGAATGGTTTGAGGAAAAATGATATGTGTACTGCATGTGAGGAATTTTGTCTTAAGCACTGAGGCTAGAGATACTCACTGAGGCATAACCTCACTAACACAGTTTATTACATCTAGTTTATCTTTACGAACACACTTCTCAACCAAAACAAATGCAAATGTAATGATATATTTAAATAATAAAAAATAACTTTCAATCTAGATGTCAATACCCTGAGAATGTATTTTTGAAAAATAAAGATAAGATGGCATTTCCAGAAAAAAAAAATTTGACAGAATTCAACATTGCTGATCTGTTTTGCAGGCAGATGCAAATAATAAAGGGTATTCTTGGCAACTAATTATAAAATGTATACAGAAATGCAAAGGACCAAGAATATCTAAAGACATTTAATAAAAAGAACAAAGTGGGAGAAGTTATTCTAATAAACATCAAAAAATACAATAAAACTACAGTAATGAAGATGAATAGCAAAAGTGGTAAAATTGAGAGTGCAGAAACATCCATGACTGTATGAAAGATTAATGTAAGACATATTGGAATAAAAGTGGTCTCCAAAGTAGAAAGAAAGTATGAAATTTTTCATACATTATTCTAGAACAACAGCAAAAATTTAGAGACAAAAGCTGAAACTTGATCTTACTTAAAAGCACAAGCAAAAAAAGCAAAAATGTAAAAGCAAGAACAATATGATTTCAGACCATAATGTAAAGTCTTTTTCTTTTTTTCTTTTTATCTCTTCTTCCATTTTTCTTTTCTCTTTCACTTTTTCCTTTCTTCCCCTTAGCTTTCCCTTCCTGAATAGATCCGTCGAAAATCCATTAGGTAGGACAGAAGCTGGTGTCTGCATGAGTGTGTGTCTGTGTGTGTGTGTGTTGAGTGTTGAGTATTGGTGGTCTAAAGCAGGGTGTTGAAACTCAAGCCAGGTGAGAAGAATGTCTGTGCAGGAGGGTCATGGACAAGTGCAATGTGCGTGATCACATGTTGGGTAATAAATACACAGGCAAAATAAAGCAAACAAGCATGGGGTGTTAAAGTGTATGTTTGGTAAGGAGGCATTCACACAGGTCGGCAGCCTGGCACAGACTAAAAGCTTGAGTACAGTTAGAGTGCCCTTTCACAGATGGTTTTCCGATCATAAAACGTAACCTACAAGCACAACCTCCATTGATTCTCTTGGTGATGTTGGTGCCCATCTTAACAGAGTCTCTTATTGATTTTATAATGCCACGTTCACACACTTTCACAAAATGTCCACATCGTGTGTTTTGCAACCTTACAGAATATATGCACTCTAGAATATCCAATAATCTGAGCCTTTTGATTTCTTCTGTCACCATCTACCAGAGCAGTTTTGACATTTTAACTTAATGTATACAGCTATGTCTTTATGCTTCTAATAGCCATCCTAAGAGCACGTCAGTGTCCTTGCCTGGATGTTACATTCTGTATCATAAGACAATGTTTCCATATTGATAAACTCTCTTTTAACCGACCTTGTTATCTACATATCTTCTCTTGATTTGGTATCCTCAGAATGCAGTCCTGTATTTATTTTATTGGGTTATGTGAATACTTATTTACTGAGTATTTAGATTTAGATAGAGTTTTATGTTTTTTCCTTAGGATGCCTAGCACTATGCTGGCTAAGTTATGTTTGACGTCATTTATTTGTCTAGATATCTAGGGTTGTTCCTGTCTTGTAATGAAGAGCCCTTTGCATTGTCTTCCAAAACAGGGAGAGTGCTAGCCTTGAAGAGCCAGATGTAGGCTATGACTGCAGAGAAATTTGATTCCCAGGGAATTCCAGAAATTCAAAAATTTCAACCAAGATCTTCCCATCCCTTATCCTACACACTTACTTCTCAGCCTGATGGTAGTGTGGTGTACCTTCCAGGACTGATAATTCAATCTTCCCTAGTTCCTGCTTACTCCTATATTGAGTCCTAGACCTAGTCTTTAGATTTTCTGCCCACTGATTGTAGGAGATAAGAGTCTATTTATAGCTCTTAAGTGGACCTTCTGGCCTCACACTTCACTTGTCTTTCTCTAAAGCGTTTAACACCCAAGCAACAGCTATCCAATTCTGTTTCCCTTATAACTGTGATTCCTGATTCCTCCACTACATGTCGAATTCTTAATATGTTGCATCAGCCATTTCATTTTCTATTTCCAGTATGTTACCTTAGTTGAGTGAAATTTTTAACAGTTGTACTGCTACCATATGCCAAGGACTATGAATAGTCCATCCACAACCAGTGATGGGGTTCTCATTGCCTGCTAACAATGATCTAGCTCCAAAATCTTAGTTCTGAGTCTGCTCTTTTGGACCTCTCCTGGCAATGACTCTAGTAGGTTGGGTAAATGTCTTTGAAAGCAAGACTCTAAGAAAGAAATTCATGCAAGAAGTTAATGGAGGTTCTTAGGATGAACAACTGTAGGATGGGAAAGAGGGAAAAGTTGAAATGTACTGAAGTAAGAGTAAAAGATTTAGTCAATCCTTCCGGGAGCTCTAGAGCTGGGTTAGGCTTACAAAATTGCTCTAAGTAAAGGCAGAGGATCAGGACATTTATATATCACATTGAACTATCACTGGATTCAGCCTGCCCCGGAAATGGTGGACAAAAGTTTGGGCAAGGTAGCTCTCTTGAGTCCAAGCCAACTGCAAAGAGGTAAATCAGCAGAGAGCTTTCAGCCATCAATACTCCCAGCATCTAAGACAATGGGTTCTTCCTTCCTGAAAGAGAAAATCTGGATAGCACACCACACTTCTGCAAAAAGTTATAAATGGCTGGGTTAGTTTTCTCGTTTGTTTGTTTCACTTACTGCATTGAACCACAAAATGTTTAATGCTCTCCTTGATCAAATACATACATGACATGTGCTATGATTTGCATGTGTTTCTTCCAAAATTCAGATGTTGCTAATGTGATAGTATTAAGAGGTGGAGACTTGAAGAGATGATCAGGCTGTGAGGTGCCTTCCTTGTTAATGGAATGGAAGTCCTTATAACAGGTGTTTCATACAGCATTCAGCTAGTTTGCTAGCCTGCTCTTCCATTGTTCTGCCATGTGAGGACTACAGGTGCTTTGATCTTGGACCTCCCAGCCTCCAGAACTGTGAGAAAGTAAATTTCCCTTAAAAAAATTACTTACATTTTGTTATAGCAGCACAGAATAAGACAGCACGACAGTGTTATACTACAGAAGGATGTATGAACATGATACCAATTTTGTGTTTTGAATTGTTGAAAAGAAATTTAATTTGTTATTTCCTCCAAGGGTTAGCCATTTGGGGTTGCCATTATAAGACATCTGCACACTAAGGTTTAGCCTTTTTTTTTTTTTTTGGTTGACATTACAAAACATTTAAACACTTTGCACATTTCTCTGAAAGGGCTTCCATGACTAGCAAACAAATGTTTGTTCTATTAGTTTAATACTAGCAAAAATGTATCTTTGGAAATTGGATTTGACAAAAACAATTTAAATGAGTATGCTACACTGAAAGTGGTTTTTGAAAATAAAAGTGATGATCTAAACTACATTCCAATAATTTTAGAGTTTCAGATTAAAACAAAAACTGTTCCCTAATTTCAAACTTTACGAAAATGATTTAATAGCATTTGATTTTCTTTTTCAACTAATATGAAAATAAATTAAAGCTCATAAATGGAATTGATTCATATAAAGTACTAAACTATGGGACACTAAATATGATAATTCTATAACATACTGAAAGTGATTATATAAAATAGATATTATAAAAAAGACATTGTGCAAACCGTTCTATTATATTGGGAAATACCAATGTTTTTCCTAGTTAACAGACTCAATAATGAGTTTTGTTATGCATATTACTAACCAATAAACGTAATTCGTTGCTAATTGACATCTTTGTTCACAAGAAAAAAATAGATAACTGTATTCAAATCAAGCAAATAAAATTATGGTAAAATTTTAGTTGCTAAATATGTATGTTTTTCAATTAGTACTTTTATGTAGTACTCTCATTCAGTAAAAAACAATGTTTGATACATTTGAGAAAACATATACACAATGGACTGCTAATACACATCTACCAAGTAGCTATAATTAAAACCTGACAGTAAAGTTTGACTGAGGACCTGAAACAAAAGGACCTTTCATCTACTGCTGGTGGAAGTATAATTGGCACATATTTTTGAAATTAGTTAGGCATTATATTTTAAAAGTGGAGATTTGCCTATGATATGAGCCAACAATTCTACTTTCAGAGGTAGTAACATAGAAATAGAAATATATGTACACCAAGAAAGTGTGTAAAGTTATGTATGCACAAAATTATGTATATAGATGATTAGTTATATAACATATGCCTTAATACATGTACAAATGTTTCTATGAATGTATAATATATTCCACTTCTTAAAAATTAAACTATACAACTGAACTATACTACTAAGAAATATATGCTTAGTTGCTAAACAACAAAAGAAAGACATGAAAAAATGTTACCATGAAGTCAATAATTATTTTGGGTAAGAACTGTGCAATGATTCAAGGAGAAATTGGAATGCATACTCTGGAGTACTAACATTGCTATGTAATATGCTATTCATTGTGATATAATGCATTGAGATGTACATTTCTGTATTTTTTGCATATGTGTTACATTTTTAAACTAATTTTTCTTATCAAAGTAGATAAGAAAAATAAGGTGTTACATTTTTAAACTAATTTTTCTTATCAAAGTAGATAAGAAAAATAAGGTAATCTGTTGTTTGTAAGGATAAAAAGAAAATACCACCATGTTAGAAAATTAGGAAAAGTATTCTTATATATTTTTCACCTTCCTGGGAGAATAGACTATACTTTTACTTATAATTTCTCTATTCACTTATTATGTAATTATTTACTTAATTTTACACAAAATATTTTTATTATTTTTTCTTTACAGACTCCTAATTTGAAATCATGAATTAGTTAATAATCATAAGACGTATTCAAATAGCTTTTTACATTTTAATGAAAATTTAGTAAAAGCTGTCATACGAAAAATTAGTCCCTGATTTCTAGCATCCAATAACCCAATCTATAAATTTTAAAAATTTAGAGACTGTTAAAAAGTTACATAAAATCAAATGAACAAATGGTAACATTTAAACAAGTTCATAAGGAAAATTCCAAGGTCATTGCTAATGTGGAAAACAGTACTTTTCGAAGTATTTGAAAGACTATCAAATAGAGTTAAAAATTGGAATAAAAAATTCAATAAACCACAAAATCACTGCGCTATTGCACCTTCATTTTGGCAACTCCAGACCAACGATCATACACATCTATATCAGAGCCATAAATAGCTTATCACAATCTATTCTTACAAGATTTGGTACACATTGCTCATAATTCTGGCAATTCTCCCTTCTGCAAACCCGCACATGGGGTTCCTTGATAGGATTTTTTTTTTTTTTAAATGAAATCTCACTCTGTTGCCCAGGCTGGAGTGCAATGGCACGGTCTCGGCTAACTGCAACCTCTGCCTCCTGGGTTTAAGCGATACTCGTCTCTCAGCCTCCTGAGCAGTTGGGATTTACAGGCGTGCGCCACCACGCGCGGCTAATTTTTTTTTTTTTTTTTTTTTTGTATTTTTGTAGAGATGGGGTTTCACCAGGCTGGTCTCGAGCTCCTGACCTCAACTGATCCACCCCACTCAGCCTCCCAGAGTGCTGGGATTACAGGGGTGAGCCAACGCGCCGGGCTGACAGGAATTCTTTATGGAGGAGCTGTCTACATTTTAGGAAATGTCCACGTGAAAATCTGTATGATAGAAACATTTTAGGAGTAAATTAACTTTAGAAAAGAAGAAAAATACTATAGCGATCGCAACTTTATATCTAATACTGATTCGTCATTACAGTCAAGCAAGGGCAATCTGCAGCCCTCCATCACCTATCTTGTTCCAGGGTAATTTCTAAATTTCCTTCTCTGGATGTTTCACCAATAAGCTTTCCAAAGATGAGAGAGTCTAGATCACCCGCATCAGTGTCATTTTGGCCAAGAATCATTAATTTCCTTCTGAAAGGACATAAAATTGACTTTAGATTCCATTATCAGTGTTACCAGAAGGAAGAGGCTAGGGAAGACAATTTTGGAGTATTAGATTCTGATTCACCCCGGGCAATCAAGTTCTCTCAGTTTTATAGACTGAGACCGGCTGGTTGTTTTTGTTTGTTTTATAAATCTCCGACAGCTTTCCTGACCAGAACATTCTACAGCATCCTCACACTCACATTTGATCATATTGTATTTGCTTCCCATTCAGCTGTCTTTCATTATTTTTACTTTGATTTGAAGTCACTGAGTAATATTGAAGTCTGCTCTGAAAAAGAATCCTATAAAATGCACTGTAAAGATGATAATGTTTCTCATTCAAAAACATGTAGTTATTTAATGTCCCCGAACTAGGGCATCTTAGATTATTTCCCCACTGCTGTAAGTACAAAGAACAGCTTTAATTCTCATGAGTAAGTAGGTTTTTAAATTGTTTATTTATTTGTTTATCTTGTGGACAGATGGATTTTGATAATCGAAAGTTTCTCTTTTCACACTAGCTATCAGAAATCCTAGAGCCAATTTGATGACTCACGTAAAATACTGCATAGGCCATGATGGCAAGCACCAGGTCTTGTTTTACTCTCCATTCATCTGCATTCTATTTTTTTTCATTTTTATTGCTTGCAGTTAAAGATATGCCACGTTATTTATGAGTTTCTGTAACCCATCATCCTAAGAAAAGGAAATCATAAGAAAGTAAAAAATATTCCTTTGTTCTTATGCATGTTTTTCCCACTCATTGAACTACTTATGAAAAATTTTTAAAAAGACAAATTATGTCTTAGGATTTAAAGTAGAATCCATAATAAATGCAAATTTTATGTGTATTATATAAAAAATACATTTACAATAAATATGTTGAGAAGGTAATATTCATGATAAATAAAATATTTTTATTGCAAATAATTACAATGAATAAATACTCACTACTTATTTAGCTTATTTAATATAATCCAGAATAAAGAAAAATGACCAATTTTTCTAATTTATTTTAGGAAGATCATTTATTTTAAACATCTGTGATTGATAATATAGCACTCTAAGTAATATTATAATATCAAAATAAATAAATTTGAGAGAAATAAAATATTAGCTTTCATATTTTGACATAAAGTTAGACAAAAGGAAAGAATACATATAACTAAAACAATAAAATCACTAAGATATATTTAATAGCTGGAACTCTAACAATTTGTGTTATATGCAGATAATATGCTTGCTTTTCCTTTTTTTCTTCAGTGGTGAAAATGTTTAAAAATTACATAAACATATGATAATCTTAAAGAAAACTTTGATAAATTTCCCCAATTAGAAATTACTTAGTCTATACTTTTTGTAAATAACATAATAAATTCAAATAATAGTGATAGAAGTAAAAATAAATAAGTAAATAGTGTAATCATTTAAAAGGAAAAGAAAAAGTGGAACATGGCACCAAAACAACATTCAATAAAATAGAAAATACAAACTAAAAAGAAAATACATGTAAAGTCTATGGGATTATCATTATTATTATTATTTTGCTCATTTTTGAATCACATTATACCGTATATATTTTATCAACAAAAGGTTAAGTATTAGGAATTTAAAGAAAAAAATCCAATAAAATTGTTAATTAAAACAGGAAAACATGGATAATAATTTAATACAATATTTTACATTTTAAAAAATGTGTTTTGATAAAATAAGCAATACAAAAGAAATAAATTTAATTTAATAACATCTAATCAAGAAACAAAAAGTAAAAACATGAATGATCCAGGACATAGAGCAATATATTCTCATTTAAAACTTACTGACATTTGTTTTATAAACTTGATTAAAATTTTCAGAGAAATTACTCAATTAATTTAAGGAGAAATAGAATATGCGAAGTGTATGTGTACAATAAATATGATATTGTTAAATTAATTATTTTAAAGAACTACATCTAAAAATGGCATCACAAAAATTCTCTCAGCCTCTCAAGATGCTGATCATTTTCATGTCCAGTAATCTAGTTCAATATAAACAAAAGACTAAAACTTTTTTCTATTAAATTTATGATTATATATTTCAAATAGCATAATTTTGAAATAAGCATTCAGAGAAATAACATTATAAAAGCAATATTAGAAAATAATCAATAATATTATAAAAAATTAGCCAATAATATTAGAAAAAAGCACTAGCACCTTAATCCAGTCGTAAAATAAAATGATAGATAACCATAGACAAATAAGATTTATTGCAAGGTAATAAAAAAGTTAGAAAGCCAATTAGTACAATCAATTATAACATTCAGTGAAAATATTTAATATTTAATAAAATGGTTAGAACTTTTTCTAATAGGGATTGAAAATAAATTGGTAAAATTCAACTTCTATTCTCCCAAAATATTGTATAAATATTAAATGAGGTACTCTTTATTATGATTAATAGTATCTAATTGAATAACACTAAAAATATGCTATTAGAATGTGAACTTTTATTACATAATTAATATCACTTAGCATGTCTTTAAATATATTTAAAGATGAATATATATTTGTTTCTCAAAATGTGAAGGTTGTACAAACCTAATAAAATATTCACATGGACATTTAGTTTTTAATTAAATTATTTTTATTATAATATACTTTATCATGTAGCAAACTTAAAAGTACTTGTAAACTACATATTCTTCTGACTCTAATAAACATAAATCTAAGTTAATTAAATACAAAATATCAACATTTAAAACGTTGTCATCGATTTCATGTGATAGATGATGCTGTTTTGATGAAACAAAATAGCTTCTTTCAACATCACTATGACAGTAGCCGCTACTGACAATAGTTCTATAAAGGTTAGCATTTCTATACTAACATATACCGTGATCATTTGAATAACTCATTATTATCTACACCTTTTCCCAGACCAAAATTCTTCATCATTTATGTAGTATATCTACCTTCTTTTCTCATTAGTCTCTATTAATTGAAATAGTACACTACTGTGTCACACAATGTTGTTGGCAAACACATACATGTTTTTAAAAATAACTGAAGTGAGCCCAGATTATTCAAAAATAATCTTTTAATTTGGAATTCTCACTAAAGGTAATATTTTGGCATGAATGCAGTTTTTTAAAATAACTTAGATAAACTCCAGGATCCATTAGGACTATTGTTGTTATTTTAAAATTAAGATGTGTTAATCTAACCAAACATTCATACATTAGAACAACGTATTAAAAGTTAATCAATTCCTTGATAATGATTTCCTGTGTCACTTTAGTCAATACCATAGATAGTATTGGCAGTCCATCTACAAATAAAAAGTAAATCAAGTGAAAGCTATTATACCTGAGAAGGCTGAGGAAGACAAAACTACATCGTGATGCCTAAATTATTTTTCCTTAGTGCTTATTTTCTTACATGCCTTCTATGTGGTAAAACACAAGCTCTCAGCCACTTAATGGCATGTGTTCCATGGCAAATTAAACCGATTTGTTTCAATTTATTTCAAGTCACATCACACAATGCAGCAAAAGAATGCCACATTTCATTGACTAATCCACCCCTGAAAATTGCTTGGAATGAGTTAGTGAGAAATTGTGTGGGGATTTACTCTCATTGCCTTGGGAAGAATCAAATCCTTATTATAAATTGGAGCTAATAGTGGTCACCGTGTAGTGTAGTTCAAAATCATTAGGACTGTGTTATATGACTCTAGAGTATAGTATATTTTTAAACATTGAGTCTGCAGTCTTAATATTTTATGAATATTTTATTTTATAAGTTGTAAGTTATGAGTTTTCATAACCCATGAAAAGACCTCAGAGGTACATAATATTGAATGGTTGTTCATGAAAAACTGCATATTTGTGAATTCATCAGCAAAGGAAGTAAAGGAGGAAAATAATGGAAAAAACTCAATTCTGACAATTGGGAAATGTGAGTAATGGTCCTATGACTGCTATTTATTAACTAGGTTTTCCTTAGGTAAGTCACTTTATTTCTTTGGGTCTTAGTTTTCTC
The DNA here is from genome assembly GCF_000001405.40 of Homo sapiens. Taxonomy (NCBI): domain Eukaryota; kingdom Metazoa; phylum Chordata; class Mammalia; order Primates; family Hominidae; genus Homo; species Homo sapiens. The sequence goes on from NC_000013.11 coordinate 70,594,377, forward strand.
ATCTGTCCATCAAGGAGCTTGGATTAGGATACCTCTAAAAACTCTTGAGTTCTGAAATCCTGTGTTCTACTATGACATTAATTTCATCACATATGTATAGATAATTTCATTGCCCACTTAATTCTAGACTGCTAACAATTATCTATCCTAAAAGTGCACCTCTAAAATGTTCTATCTAGCAAGCCTTCCCTAATCATCTAGAGCCAACATAAAGAATCTTTTCTTTAAAATTCTATAGCTGATATATAGCAATTTTAAAGTATTTATTCTGATATATGGTCCATATTGGTGAATTTGTCTTTGTTCCATACTAGAAGTCAAGGGCTATTTATTATTCATTCAGGTGACTCCCCTTCTTCCGCAGTGCCCCTACCTCAAAGACCTAATAGTGCTACATGTACATGAAAGATAAAATTGAGGCTCAGTAAAAGTGCATTGTATAAATGTAGGGAACTAGGTTTTCTGCTCTATACTTGAATCTTATTGTACCTATGAGAGTCACTGGGTCTTCCTCTTCACTCGCTAGAATATTTGGCCTTTGCCATCCTTTGGACAGTCCCTGGAAACTGCAACTTGAGTAAAATCAAGACCTAAATTTAAATTTGCTAGTGATATTCTCCCAGTTTCAAATTTACTATCTACCATAACAACTCATAACGCTTCATCACTTTCATGGGCCATATTTCTCTGTTTCTGTCACTGGCCTATATCAGAAACGTTGAGAATGACAAAACTCTTTTAGTATTTTTCCCCACTTGGAAAACGTTTTTTCAATCAGTTGGTAAAAATAAATATCAAAAATTTTGTGTCTGGGGGATTGCTTGTTTCCTTCATATCACTATATTGTACTTAACCTCAGAGCACTGATCACATTCATTTTAATTGCATGTAGATTTTTTAATCTACACAGTAGCCCATGAATTTCTAAGGGAAGAATTTTTTGTTTTATCTCTGTTTACTCAGTAGTTAACATAAAGCCTGTTAGAGCACATCCACATAGCACGCAATGTGTGAATAAACAACTTCATACCAGAGTCTGGCTGGAGTAAATATGAACTGTAACTCAAGGTTGTGCCTTAGAAAAGCTCACAACCTACTTATGACAATGTGAGCTATATAAAATGTGGCAACAGAAAAATCACAGAGTAACTCCTGGATCTTGTTATCTTTCAGGAAATTAAATTCTTCCTGCTAGGACAAATTAAATGATCAGCAAAAAAAAGTGATAGAAACCTGTAAGAAAAAGTATTAGGATGTAAAAACGAGTTAATGAATGGAGTCTATAATACTATTTCTACTCATCTCACACTGTTACAGAGTGTTTAAAAATGTTAAATTGAATGTGTAGAAAAAATAAACACAATAAATTAGTATAATTCAAAGTGACAGCACAGGAACCCCTAGATAGAGGCATGGAAAGAAACAAATCAAAACTAATGTATTCCTCTGAGTGGATATTGATATCAACATAAATTATAATTCCTATTAAATTCATAAAGTGTTAATTAAAATGCTGCTCTACACAGCATTACATATTGTATGTGTGTAAATATTAGTGCTAGGACATTTTACTGCTTCTCATTTATCACCTTCAGAATCAAATGTGTATTTTTATATGCTGTACAACCTATGAAATGCAACAGGCAGATTGGATTTCCCTAGAAAATGTCCTTGTCTCCATTAAGAGCTTTATGCATTTTCCATATGTATACAAGAAAAAATACAGAATGGAATAATATAGTATTCTCTACATATGTATATGCATATACATATGTGTATGTATATATACATTTCTTGACTACTAATTTATGTTTCAAAAATTCTATTCTATTTTATATCAAAATATTAAAGGGAAGTAACAGGTCTTAAATTTGAGATCCTTTATATATTAATTTTGTTAATATCAAATAATTCAACATACTTGTTCCACCATTATTCCATCATTATTTCAAATATTTCAAATATGTATGTATCCTACCATTATTTCAAATGTTTCCATATTCTATAGAATATTTATCTTTTCTAAATTATTGTCCTTAATAGACAAAGACATAAATAGCTGATTTCTAAGTTTTTGAAAAGCAATTTTATATTTACAAGGAATACCACACCAGAAAAAGTCTGCAACATCAATATTACCAAGACAACTCTTTATTAGTCTGAAGTGTATTTCTCTTAATGTAGACTTCTTAGTCTTTTTGCTACAGATATTATCTAGTATTAATGGCATTACATAGTGGTCACATGAGACTGATAATAAACTGAGAGGGAAAATTTTGTTCCTCAGAATTAGAGTGTTTTAAACATTTTGATTTCCACAGCTTTTTTACACTTTTAAAAATAATTGAGGAGCCCCAAAACCCTTTTGTGTCTTTGGGTTTTATCTAGTATATTTACTAAATTAAAAACTATACCCACTACTTTTAAAATATTTATTTTTAATTCACTTACCAACATTAATAAATCTATTACATTTTAACAAAAATAACTTATATTTTTATAAAAACATTTTCCCACACAACTATTATTGAGCAATGTATTTTGGCAAATTTGTCTTTTTAGAAGACAATTAGATTTTCATATATTCTACTGCACTATATCTATAATATATGTTTTGGCTAAAATATGAAAAGAAAATCAGGTCTGATGTTTATATTCTTTCAGAAAAAGGAAGTGAATTTAAAAGCCTTTTCAGATAATTATGAGTATTTCTTTTTGACGCTCCACTAAACAGACAAGTGGTAGTTTCCTTAATACAAATTGCAATGTAGAATCTTAAACCACATAAATGAATTTACTGTATTCTGCTACATTCATCCAATATTCTATCTCGCCATTTGAATGTATTTTTTACTCATACATTATTTCAAAATCGTAGGCAATATATTTTGAAAAATACTGTTTTCTAAAAATATTGGTTCACTGATTTATACACATCTACCAATATTTACTTATAAATATATGAAATATATGTATGCATTTATTGAGAGTGTTTTTAAATTTGTTTCTGAGACAGGGTCTCACTTTTTTGCCCAGGCTGGAGTGCAGTGGCATGATCACAGCTCATTGCAGCCTTGACCTCCCAGGATCAAGCAATCCTCCCACCTCAGCCTTTCAAGTAGCTAGGACCACAGTTGTGTGTCACTATGTTCAGCTAGTTTCTGCCCCCTCCAACCCCCCACCAAGGCTGGAATGCAGTGGCATGATCTTGGCTCACTGCACCTCCACCTCACAGGTTCAAGTGATTCTCGTGCTGCAGCCTTCCAGGTAGCTGGGATTACAAGCATGTGCCAACACACCCGGCTAATTTTTAAATTTTTAGTATAGATGGATTTCACCTTGTTGGCCATGCTGGTCTCGAACTTTCAGCCTGGGGTAATCTGCCCACTTTGGCCTCCCAAAGTGCTGGGATTACAGGCATGAGCCACTGTACCGAGATGGAGTCTTTCTATGCTGCCTGGGGTAGTCTTGAAATCGTAAATGATCCTCCTACCTTGGCCTCCCAAACTACTGGGATTACAGGTGTGAGCCACCACATATTTAAACATTTTAATATGCAATGTATTTTTTAAATCACATCTGTTAATATTACCATAGCTCATGAGAAAAATATTTAACATTGGGAAGATGTTAAGCTTACGTGGAAGGGTACTATTTTTCCAAAATCCTAGCTTGCACTTGAAAATTTCAGTTTTATCATAGACAAAAATACCATTATTTTTGTTGAGGTGGCAAGATCATTTCATTAATTTTTGAGAAGAATCTACTAAATACCGACATCTAAACAACCATAGTTTATTAATGTTCTTCAAAGTAAAAAGAACTCTTCATGAAAATAGTAGCAGTTCAATGCTAAACTTTCACAGTCATGTAAATGCTTTTTGCTGGAGACAATAATTTGCAGTGGCATATGCAGCAGAAGTACTTCATTTGTACTTCCCATTTTTCACACCTTTTTCATATCTTTTATATATCTAGTTTTTATTTATCTAATATTTTATTTAAAAGATCTGTATTCAAAAATCAAGATTTATAAAAGTGACTTTTTTCTGCTTCATCAGGGCATTCCTAAATAAAATTTGGGATTTTTTTTCAGCGTTACTATTATTGTTAGTGTGTGCTGGTAAAGTCTAACTGCTAGTTAGGCCAAGCTTTAGTATCTTGAATCATGCTAAGGCACGAGCAATTGTACCCTTCATTGCTTTTGCATGACCAGTGAATATATAAACTCAGTAGATATGAGAAATAATGTTTGGCACTATTATTTTAAAGAATGTGAACTACAGGGACCTCCCCTGAAAGTCTGTATGGAACTCTTGGGTTTTGTGGAACATGTTTAGTGAATTGTTTTTATAGAACAAGATTTGAGCAGGTTGCATACTCCCTAATATATTTACTTTTAAAAAGAGTAAGTAATTCAGAATTCCTATAAACAACTTGAAAATGTTGCTAGAGAACATTCAAATTACAATAATGACACTAAGTATGTTGAATATTAAATGGTTTTCCTAAGGTCATAGAAAAGACTAATGATATAACTTAAGATTTATGTCTTCTAGGGAAGCCCAGAGTTCCCTCTTCTGTACTGTTTCCTCTTCATTTAGCTTGTAAAATAATATTTGCTAAAGCATTGATTCCTTCTAAATTATTTTCAACTTTTGGACAAATTCTTGAGAACAATCTGTTAAATTCAGAAATTGTATAGGTTTGAAATTTTAAGGAACCACAAATATGTAACAGCTTTGAGAACGTAATCTGAAGAAAATATGTCACTAAAATGTGTAAACTACAAAATTCTCAATAAAATATTATACCATATGTAAAATTCATTTCTAGGTTACATGTTTTTAGCATAGCAGAATAATACATGCTCTAAAGATAAACTCTATTTTTTTGCCAAAATTGTTCACATTTTCGATCACTTATGGCCATTTGTGAAAACTCAATGCCTTCTTCTACTGAGACAAACTATAAATATAAAATAAATTATTTTTCTAAATAAAAAAGATTTTATTTAAAAATGAACATTGGCAATAGGATGAATAATTACAAAATGCTTATAATCTGAAACTGTAAAGTGTTGTTGCAAATGTGCCAATTAAAAAGGCATTGTTGCATTAATATTTCTACTTTTTACAAAAAGCCTTTCTTATGCATCTTCCAATAAATTGACCAGATGCTTAGTGATATTAAGAGTTGTGAGAAAGGAAAACACCACTAAAACCTTACTCATGTAGCCAAAACCACCTGTTCCCCCAAAAGCTATTAAAATAAAAATCAATCAATCAATCAATAAAAATAAAATGAGGAAAAAGTTTAAAAATAAATAAAACATTATGAGAAGGGAAATATTTACTTAGCATCTATACATAGTGTATATTTTATACATATAATTTATATCTATATATTATGTAAATATAATATACAAATATATGTAATACTTGAAGGTGAAAAGACCTACATAAGTGAAGAGAGTAGTGGTGTTCATATTTCATAAATTCAGGCCCAAAGTTTATGAAATGAGGTTTATATCTTATGATTAACCAAAAATATAATATTTTACCTTATTTCTAGCTTGAGAATGCATGTGTTTAAAGCTTTGTCATCTTTATCTCTATAATTCTCCATGCCTAGCAAAGTTCATAGTGAATGCTTAATAAATGCCAGTCAAATTGAATTTTTAAATGCATATTTGGAACTCTTCATTTCTTGGTAGAATAATATTCATATGACCTATGAATGATGGAGAGTAAGATGAAGAATGGATCATTTAGATTTTACTTTCCAGAGCACATGGCCTTTTCTATATGCTAGCATAATGGATACACTGGTGCAGGGAGCTGGGGGATTTTTCTCCTGGGCCTGTTCCATATTTCTCATCTATGTTGTCACTGGGTACACAAGGTCTATCCACTTTGTAAGAGGATTTCTGCCTAGAGAGACATATTTTATTTTTTTGCTAAGATGATCAGTATAAAACTGACAAAGTGTTTGCAACTGGAGTTTAAAAGTAGTTCCTGAACCTTGATCATGTTGTTCTTGGTCTTAGTGGAATGAAGAGTGTAGCCAATTCTTTAATGCTTATTCTAGTTGCATTGAGATGAAAGTCCCGAAGCCTCCTTTGTTCTAAAATTAATAAACTGAGCAAAGGAAAGAGTAGGTTGTTGTCTATATGAGCCAAAAGATGCATGAATAGGCTCATGCAAAATCTACAATTATATTTATACAGCATAATAAGGTCAATATGTTTGCTTCCACGGAATACTGTTCCACAATAAAAAAGCAATGACGTATATGTAAGTACCTGTATGAATCTTTAGAGTTAATTGTGACACTGTGAAGTGTTTTGCTATCACAAGAAAGGATATTGCAAATGCACTATCAATTTTGTTACTATACATGAAACATTTCCACTGAATATTTTTGGGTGCTCGCCTTCTCATTCCAGGATTAGGGGTTCAAACTAGACATTGATTTATATTTGGATTTTCCTGATTTGGATATTCCTGAATATCCAAATAATTGAAACACAATATTTTAACAACCTTTTCACATCGCAGTACAGAATATTCGATCAACTCTAAAAATAAAAACACAGTACAAGAAAAGAATATAATGACTTGATTGGACTACAATCGATTGAATGGCATTAACCTTAATTGGCTGCATTATTAAATGCATATATAATGGGGAGAGAAAGACATCGATAAAGAGGAAATTTTATTTTTTGAGTTTTGGGTTATCTAATGTTTCCATTTATTTTGTGCTATATATTTTACAGTAAAGAGATGCTTAGGAAGAAACAAGGTGCAATTAGAACGGATTAGGAGGTAAAATTTAAAAATCAAGGGCTGAAGTTTATTTCTAATTTTTCTTTTAATACCAGAATCACTAAATAAAGAATAAGTTTTTTATATTTTATTGTATGTAGTAATTAAGGTATATTTTCTTAAAACAAATTTCATCTTTCATAGTGATGCTCTTATATTCAAAAATTATGTTGCAAAACTATGTCCTATGATGTAATATTAAATCAGTCAATATTGATATACAAACATTCCACTTGTGTTTAGGGAATATGAGAAGGCTTTATTTGGAGGCAAGGATTTGAAGATTAATTTTGTTTGGTGTAAGATTTTCTCTTAGTGTCAATATCTGTGATTTTTGACAACATGTTTTAGTGTGGAGTCATTCTGAGCACTGTTATATAGCACAGCTCCTAATTTAGACTTTCAAAACTCTATTCTTATAGAGAAATTGAATTCCATGGGGCTTTTGATGGGGCTTTCATTTTTAGAGAATATCTCTGAATTTTAACTTTTTTACATATTACAATGAATATTTCCATTATTAAATTATTTTCTGTTATAATGATTTTCTCTAAAAGTTGAAATTTTAGCATTTAAATAACTCATGAGAATGACAATAAAAGCTACTGCTTATTGAGCACTTATTATGTGCCAAACAATGCTCCAGGCACTGTATAAGGGTGATCTCTTATAATTTTCACAATAATCTCTGTGCAAAATATATTACATTCAATTCACAGATGAAAAAAATATGCCTCAAGGAATTTAAATAACTTGTCCAAGGTCATAGACTAGCAAATTGCAAAGCCATGATTCAAGCTCAGTTTCTGATTCCTAAATCCATGTGCATAATGATTAAGGCGCAGAGCCTCTTTTAGTGTTAATTATTCACATATACACAACTTCTCAATTTATTTGAGTTTTATTTGTGAATGAAGTCGATTTTAACAAGCAATATGAATTGAAACAATCAATATAATTAAAATGACCGTACTGTCCAAAGCAATTTGCAGATTCAATGCCATTCCTATCAAACTACCAATGATATTCATAGACCTAGAAAAAAACTATTTTCAAATTCATGTGAAATCAAAAAAGAGCTCGAATGACCAAGGCAATCCTAAGCAAAAAGAACAAAGCTGGAAGCATCACACTACCCAACTTTAAACTATGCTACAAGGCTACAGTAACCAAAATGGCGTGGTACTGCTGCAGAAACAGACACATAGACCAATGGAAAAGAATAGAGAGCCCAGAAATAAGACCATACAAATACAATCTTCTGATCTTTGACAAAGCTGACAAAAACCAGCAATGGAGAAATGACTCCCTATTCAATAAATGGTGGTGGAATAACTGGCTGACCATATGCAGAAGATTGAAACTGAGCCCCTTTCTACACCATATACAAAAATTAACCGGAGATGGATTAAAGGCATAAACATAAAACCCCAAACTATAAAAACCCTGGAAGGCTGGGCACGGTGGCTCATGCCTGTAATCCCAGCACTTTGGGAGGCCGAGGCGGGCAGATCACAAGGTCAGGAGATCGAGACCATCTGGCTAACACGGTGAAGCCCCGTCTCTACTAAAAATACAAAAAAATGAGCCAGGTGTGGTGGCAGGTGCCTGTAGTCCCAGCTACTTGGGAGGCTGAGGCAGGAGAATGGTGTGAACCCGGGAGGCAGAGCGTGCAGTGAGCCAAGATCGCGCCACTGCACTCCAGCCTGGGTGACTGAGCAAGACTCTGTCTCAAAAACAAAAAAAAAAACAAAAAAAAAAACCCCAAAAAACCTGGAAAACAATCTAGGCAATATCCATTTTTTATACAGGCATGGGCAAAGATTTAATGACAAGATGCCAAAAGCAATTGCAACAAAAGCAAAAATTGAAAAATGAGATCTAATTAAACTTAAGAGTTTCTGCACAGCAAAAGATACTATCAACAGAATAAACAGACAACCTACAGAATAGGATAAAATATTTGCAAACTATGTACTGACAAAAGTCGAATATCCAGCATCTATAAGAAACTTAAACAAATTTATAACAAAAAAAAACCATTAAAAAGTGGACAGAAGACATGAACAGATAATTTTCAAAAGCAGACATACATAGCCAACAAGCACATGAAAAAAAGCTCAATATCACTGATCATTAGAGAAATGCAAATAAGGACCATAATGTGATACCATTTCACACCAGTCAGATGGCTATTACTAAAAAGTCAAAAAATGACAGAATCTGCCAAGATTGTGGAGAAAATGACATACCTATACACCGTGGTAGGAGTGTAAATTAGTTCAACCATTGTGGAAAGCAGTGTGGCAATTCTTCAAAGAGCTGAAAACAGAGCTACCATTCAACCCAGCAATCCCATTACTGAGTGTGTACCCAAAGGAATATAAATCACTCTACCGTAAAGACACCTGCACCTGTATGTTCACTGTAGCACTATTCATAATAACAAAGACAGGGAATCAATCTAGGTGCCCATCAATGGTGGATTAAATAAAGAAAATGTGGTACATATATACAATGGAATACCATGCAGCCATAAAAAAGAGATCCTATCTTTTGCAGGAACATAGATGGAGCTGGAGGCCATTATTCTAAGAGAACTAACACAGGAACAGAAAATCAAATTCCGCATGTTCTCACTTACAAGCAGGAGCTAAATGATGAGAACACATGGACACAAAGAGGAGGACAAAAGACACTGGGGTGTACCTGAAAGTGGAGGGTGAGAGGAGGGAAAGGATCAGAAAAAAATAACTATTGGTTATTAGGCTTAGTGCCTGGGTGATGAAATAATCTGTTCAACAAACACCCGTAATATAAGTTTACCTATGTAACAAACCTCCACATGTACCCCTTAACCTGAAATAAAAGTTAAAAAGAAAAAGCAAACATGGAGCTGTAAGGTGTATTTACATACACTATGCTTTCACTATATTCTCTTTCAAAAGTTTGAAATAGATTATAATTAGATTTTCATTTGTTTATTGTTTAGATTGTCATTTAGGTAAATGAAGGCTGTTTAACGAAAGTCTGCTCATCCTGTGTTCCTTCACAATTTCCCAAAATAATCTGTTGTCAGTAAGGATGAGGGTTTGTCAAAAAAGAAGGAGACAGCATAATTATATTTAGCCAATGGTGAGAAAGTCTTATTGAACTCTTAGTATTTGAGCATACTCAGTGCTTAAAATGGCTACATTGGAATCCGTTACAGATACTTACAGTAGTCAAATTGCTTTATGAAATTTGGTCGTATGAATTAGGTCATTTTTGTCATACCCAATTAAAACAGACCCAAAAAGCCAGGGGGAGAAAGCCCTCAGAGCACATAACATTGCTCCAGGAAGATAATTTCCTACAAGCCAAGTTGCTGAAATTGCCTGTCGTAACCTGAAACCAGTTTTATCTAATGGCCACTGAAACAACCTTGAATGTTTTATCTAAGGCCCTCACTTGCCAGTCAAAACCTGCCAGCTCCCTAACACTTTACTAATGGCAATGAATTTTCTCAAAGAACAAAGCATAACATTTCCCTTTTTTTAAATAAAACCTCTAACCTTTTGTTTATTCTTGAGACATACTTAAGACCACCCCGTGTGCGTGCATGCCCCAAATTGCCATTCTTTCTTCCCAAATAAAATGTTTTCATTGAAAAAAATGCGTCTCTATGTTTTATTTGACTTCAATAGCTTCCTGGGTTAAAGTTTAAGCAATTTTCGTTTCATGTGAAAGCAAAAACACCCATCAGTTTTTGGGACCTAAATATATCCTAGTAAGGTCACTCAGGCCCTTTTCTTCACTAAAGAGAAGACAATTTAAAGAACCATGAAGTTGGATTGTTGGAACTCTATTTCCATCTACAATACCCTTCATTCAGCAAAATGTACTGAATATTTAACATGAGCCAGGCACTGTTCCAGAATGGGAAATATAAACTTCTATGTGGTTCTTACATACTTATATTTGCAAGTGAGGAGTGGAACAAGAGGCAGACATCAAATGAGAAAAACAATATAAGAACTAAGTTAAATGAGTGACATTATATAATTAAAAGAAGGTGGAAACTGTAAAGGAAAGAAAGGTCTGAAGGAATGTTGTGTTAGCAAAAGACTTCATGAGCAGAGAACATTTAAGTTAGGGACGCAGGATTACAAAATGAAAAACAATATGGCTTTAAAAACAAACAACAGCAAAAAAGAATAGAAGAAAGAAACAAAGAAAAGGGCCTATGGTGCTGAAATGTGAGGAATGAGCATACGAGTTATTTGAGGTAAGGTAAGAGGAGTAGTTTGACAATGGACAGTTAATATTAAGAGATTTGAATTTCCCATGAGGGAAAATATGCAGTTACATGGTGTCACAGAAATTAAAGACACAGTTTTTAGTACGAATGCTGTTTAAAGTATGAAGCTGTTCAAAGTATGAATATTCACATAAATAAACATATGTTAATTGTATAAGAAGAAGGATGTTTTCTTTTTACCGATGTTCTGATGATACACACATCCACATGTAAACTCATGTCATCTTCATGCATCCTGTAGAGTTAAAAAGTAAGAAACACACTTTGGGAGGCCGAGGCGGGCAGATCACGAGGTCAGGAGATCGAGACCATCCTGGCTAACATGGTGAAACACCATCTCTACTAAAAATACAAAAAAAAAAAAAGAAAATTAGCTGGGCATAGTGATATGTGCCTGCAGTTCCATCTACTCGGGAGGCTGAGGCAGGAGAATCTCTTGAACCCGGCAGGCAGAGGTTGCTGTGAGCCGAGACTGCACTACTGCACTCCAGCCTGGCGACAGAGCTAGACTCTGTCTGAAAAAAAAAAAAAAAAAAGTCACCTATAGAGGCTTGAAAATACATGTTCACTGTAACTTTATTAGCCTTCAGTATTAATATTATTGCTATTCATCAAATTCCAAAAGAAATTGTATGAAAGCACAGTGAGTCTACTTCAGAAACAATTTAGCAAGTTCCGTAAGACATAATAGGACATCTGATGTCTATCACATCTGAATAAATGCAGTGATTTCCTAGCTCCTTCATTGCTTACTGGAAGGATGCATGATATTACATTTTACTTAGCTATATGAAGATACTTTCTAGAATATTTTGGACATATTAACATTTTTCTCCTCTCAGTGCACTGTAAATATTTATTTTTCAAACATCGTTTTGCTTTGAAGATTATGGTATCTTGCTGGTTCACCACCAGAGAGAGTATTATTCGTGTTTGGGATAAACTCTATGAATTGTAACATGTAACCTTGCAACAAATTGCAATATATGAATTCAAAATTAATTTTGGTCAGCTAGAAAAATATTCCTACTCTTCAAATATTATTCATATTATAAATTTAACAATATACCTTCAAATCTTTGACAAAGCCAAGTTAAAATAAGTAACTTGTATGGAAGAATTGAGTAAAAATAGTCAATGTACTTCTCTTATATTTTATAATTTTAATTTAAAAATTTTTATCAAGCTAAATTTGTGTGCTACCCCTTTTCTTCTTAGAGACCTACGATAAGTCCTTATTACAAATTAAAATGAAATTTACATATGCTAATCTAGCCTAAAAGGCCAAACATGGCCTGATTTAGTCTGTTTCTTCAACCTCCTCTCACACTGATTGCACTCAATATGTCAAGCTTAAGAACTGTTCACCATCTGCCGCGTCTACCTACACTGCCCTTCTTCCTCTGTTGAACATATCAATCTCATTTCTGCTCTGGTCCTTTGAGCATTCCATTTTTTTCTCTCTGAAGGCATTACCTCTGGATTTACCCTGTCCAGACCTAAATGCTTACACTAATCATTTGGTTCCCAGGTTAAGTTTCACCTAATTGTAAAACCTTTCTTTTACCATTCTAGCTAATGCAGCCACCAAACATCTTTCACATGGATAGTTCCAGTTTGATCTTATCTCATGTCTCTTTTCAAATTTCTTTCACAGCACAGATCACAATGTGGAATTATATTATTTACGTACTTGTGATTTAATTTTCATCTCACTGCACAAAATTTAAACACCATAAAGATGGCAATGATACATTTCTTAGTCACCATTGTTGTCACAAGAGATTATAATAGTGGCAACATATGACATCTCAATAAACAGAAAATAAAACATCACAGCGATTTAGATCCTAAGTGTTCCCTTATTATATTATCTACATGCGTTAGAGACTCTCTATAAAAAGTCAGATAAATCCTTTACTGCATGTATTGTGAAAATGTTTTCAAGGACTTTTCACTAATTACTCTGAAGTCTTTATGAAAATGTCTCAGCAATAAGAAAACTTATGTTTATTTTAAATATCTATGATTTTATTTTTATGAATGTTATATTGTGAAAATATTGTTCTCTTTTATTTACCTACTAAAGGCAGCAAACTTGTGCTGGGATCATAGGGATGAATAGAGTCATGTGGTATACATATCTGTATGCCATTCTTACCTGTCTTAATTTTTTCTCAACTGAATTCCATTTATCTAACATCTATAATGATACTATAAATATTATATACTTATTACAAAGGTCTTAAATCTCATATGCAATTAAAGGTGAATAATATTATTTCCTAACAATGAATGACCATTTCAAAATTTCTAGAATTATAAAACAATACTTTTGAAGCTAACTCAAGAAATAGACATACAGATTACATTTTATTACAAGAAGTACTCTTTTAAGCGTTAAGTTTAAGGGTAAGTTTCCACATCCTTTTTTTCTTCAACATCCCCCTTAGACAGACATGTTATTTGTCTTCTGTTTCACAGATAAGAAAGCCAAGAAAAATATACAGGTTAAGTAAAAGGCCCTAAGACAAATAATTTATGAGTTATACAAATTAATCAAGTCTTTCACTTAAATGTCCAAATTCAGTGATATTCAACCATTCCCTAGAGCCATCACTGAGACATCAACTTACGCATTCCACTAAGGACCCATGAAGCTACAGGAGATCTATTTACTTTTCAAGGGTGAAGATACTGATATTATCAAGAATCACAAAATCAAGAACTACTTATCTTTGTCTCTGTCTTTAAAAAGCAACCAGTGCTTACAGTTGCCTCTAGCATAGATGGATCATAATTCTATTTGAGAATTATTTTCTAAGCTTAAACCCTTAATTGTGGTACTATGCATTCAGTGTAGATTTTTGTTGTTGTTGTTCAATGCTTATCACCAGACACCTGTCTCAAAGCCTGAGGGAGTAATAGCTCAGGAAGACTCTATGAGCCATCTGCCACTGACATTCTCAGATTGTACTGGGTCAACTTCCCTGGGAATTATATAAGGAGTCTTCTTTGACCTACCCTTTCAGGCCAATCAGATCACATTGGTAACTGCACAGGATTTTAGAGTGGGCCACTTCTTAAAAAGGAAATGTCACATTGAATGTGAAGCTGGTGACTGGCATATAAGTTACTTGAGGAAACAAAAAAAATTTTTAGATTTTAACATGAGCAATTTAGCTGTGGAATTTCTGTGTTTTGATGAAAACATAGTTTTCCTTCAGATGATAATCTCATGTTGTCTTGATGCACTCATTGTGTCAAGTTTAAGAATTGTTCACTATCGCTCTTTAGGAAGAAGTTTTGTCAATTGTCTTTAATTAATTGTGTAATGACAATGACCTCAAAAAAAGAATACTGATATTCAGGGTAATCTTACAGTAGGCATCCTATTTGCCATTGAAATTCAAGAAGTTTGTGGAATGACTTTTTTAAAAAGGTTGTTTTAATCTTAGAAAACAACCTCTTTAAAAAAATGTGTTTCCAGTTTAATTTAAAATTCAACTTCTCTAATTATATATCTGTACTTCTTATTAGCATTAAATGAGTTGGTAGTCTCTACTCTTCCTGAAAATGAGTCTTCAATGATTTCATTTAAGATAAAAAGGAAATATATATTCAGACTTTTACTATTAAATCTCAATGCCCTCAAGCAAATGGTCTGGCTGAAAGGTGGTACAAACTAGTAAAGATGCCCTGGAGAAGCTTATTAGAGGATATCAATTAATATGAATTGCCAGATTTTCATTGCTCGATATGTCACTACTTGCACAGTCAGTACTATTGAATTATTAATAGCACAATGCCCTAGGACTTGCCTCAATTATTTCTATGCAGGCTTAAAGAAAAGTTTAAAGACAAATAAATACATATCCTGGGTACTGCATTTCCTGTAGCTAGAAGTTTGATTATATCTATTTCTAGATTCTGTTTTTAGCTAGGAATTATGAGGTGACACTGAGGTGTGTTCATTATTCGATATTATAAATGATGGGCAACAAGCTGGTGTAATTTATTTGTGACCAACTGCAATGGCATCTCTCACAGAATAGAAAGGTCTGAATCAAAATTCCAGAGCAATTCCTTGAAAGTCAACCTAGGGGTACATCCTGAAGGACTTTTTATATTTCCAAAAGAAAAAAAGTATCACTTCATTCCTTGCTATGGGAAAAGTTGAAGAGATGCAGGCTAGTATTCCAAAATAAATCAATGTACCAGTGTTATTGGATCTACCATGTTTCTCATTAAAATATTTTCTTAGTAAGTAGAGAAGAGCTTTGTGGTCAGCACATAGTAGATGTGGTTTGTTAACATCAGTTTTATTTTGTGAGAATAAATTGATTTATAGTAGGGTCAGGGCAAGTGAAGAAAAACTTTTTGAATATCTAATCGCCTCACCTGAATCACTGTCTAAATGGAACTGGGCATATTATCTTTTTGTAATGATTTATTGCTATCTGTTTTATGTAATTTTAAGAATTTAATGATAAAACAGTACAACACTAATGTCCATTAGAAAATATTCTCAGTAACACATTTTAAATGTATTTTTACAATATTTGGTTGCCCTATATAAATGTTGGGTCCTTGAAATGTCATTATATTTCTGTATTTGATAGGCAAAGGCATTTTTGAAAGATATTCATGTTAAACACAGCAGTCTATTGGTTAAAAATTTATAAATAAAAAAATTTTGACCAGGCTTAGAAGCTCATAAACTGTCTAAATGATGGTAGTTTGAAAATAAATGAAGCAATATATTACAGATGCTAAAGGAGAAGCTAATGAAGGAGCTAAAGTTATGCAATTTAAAAGAATTAATGTTTGACCTTCTGTAATAGTGAATGTGTTTAGAATTACTAAAATGTAAAAACAATTTAGGACCGGGTGCAGTGGCTCACACCTGTAATCCCAGCATTTTGGGAGGCCGAGGTGGGTGGATCACGAGGTCAGGAGATTGACACCATCCTGGCCAACATGGAGAAACCCCGTCTCTACTAAAATACAAAAAATTAGCCTGGCATGGTGGTGTTCACCTGTAGCCCCAGCTACTCGGGAGGCTGAGGCAGGGCAATCAGTTGAACCCGGGAGGCAGAGATTGCACTGAGCCGAGATTGCGCCACTGCACTCCAGCCTGACAACAGAGTGAGACTGCATCTCAAAAAATAATAATAATACAATAAAAAATAAAAATAAAAAAATTAGAAACTGATGAACCCAGATAATTAACTATAAAAGAGTGTATTGAATTGTAGGTACCCCAGTGTCCTAATATGAGAGAGAAAAAATTAGATAGAGAATGAATGTGAGAGTGACAAGAGCAAGACAGAGTGAGAGATTTACATAAAGAAATGCCGTTTGATAGTGGCGTAGTCTTAACTCGAAATGTCTTAATTATTGTCTTTTCTGAAATGTAATTATATTGACAATTAAGTGATCTTTCAGAGCATAAATAAAACTGTTTGATAAGAAATAATGTTGATATTAGACAACAATGATACCTATTTTCAATTTAAAAATGTACAAATACATTAAAGGAAGCCTTAATTTAACACTGAACAAATCATAGATTTATAGAATTTTTAAGTGAATAATTCATCTAAGTTTATTTTTAATATTTAATGGGAAACAGTTACAACTTTGCCACACCGAGAAGTCTTCGAAGTTTCAGTTCAATTATTTTCCCCACTGATTCAGCCCTTCTCAGTGAGCTACTGAAAATGTGAAGGGAAAGTGTGTCAGGCTGTCTCTGCCACTGCGCTCAGTGCCCTGCCCTTAGCGGTGTTCAAAACTGATGATGAGCAAGGAAAAGAAAACAGGAGGAATTGAAATTGATTCGACATAGAGGAACTTTCCTTGCTGATCTTAACATGTCACAGCTGTATTTTGTTAGTGAAATATTCAAGTGAAAGTTTCAAGGTAACGATCCAAAGGGGTTGTGTGAGAATTGAAAGTTCCCAACCCCATCACATTAACTGAGCTGTAGATTCTACTATCATTCTTGTTTGTGTGTTTATTTTATTTACACAAAATTTGATTAGGCAAAATTACTGAAGTATGTTATTTTATTTACACAAAATTTGATTAGGCAAAATTACTGAAGTATGTTGATTTAGAAGCTAACTTGAGACTAATGTACAAATTTGGTCCAGAAGGTTTTCTGAGATACAATATGCCTGTTGGGTAAAACATGACAGGTAATCTCTCCAGACTGGACTGAAGTGGGATTTGTAGTTTTATAATTCTGCAGGGAAAGTAATGTAACAGCTGTGAAATAACGTGATTCTTAAATGCCATTTTCTTACAAGTAGTAAGGATTTTTAATTGATGTACTTAGCAGGTATTAAGCAACCCTCTACACTCCTGTCCAGTGGGAAGAGGTTGTCATGTGCCCCATGCTGTTATCCCATATGGTAGAACTGCCCATGTTCAAAATTCCTTCCGTTTGGATCTGATAAAAATCCCTGACTAATTTAGACTTGCAATTGAAAGTGTTGTAAAAAATGTGAACGATATATCATACCTGAGTTAAGCGCCCCCTCTCTTCGTCTCCTACTTTTCTCTAGTTCACATAAGCATAGCTAGCCACATTCTGTTTCAGGATTAAGGCATTGATTATTTCATTTCATGTGTTAGTTAAGATCAGATGCATTTTTAAATGTATTTTATTTTTTATTTTTATTATTTTCAAATGGACAAATTAAATGGTAGCTATTTACAGCATACAACATGGTGTTTTAAAGTATATAACATTTCAGAATGACTAAATATAGCTAATTAACATATGCATCCTTTTTTGTTGTTCAAAAGTCCTTTTTCACAGTGAAAACTTTATGAGTGAAATAACATTTCTACCTTACGTTCAGGGGTTATTCTGATAGGATTAAAGAGAATAATAGAACAGGTTATAAATAGTAAAGTCTAATATAGCAGTATATTTGGTAGCAGTATTGATATATCTATTAGGATAAATTGCCTTAAAAAATAACTGAGATAGTAGCAGTGAGGTGTGGTAGAAAAAAGTCAGGATTTGAAGACAGGTTATCTGAGTTCAAAGCTGAGATCTAAAATTTACAAGCTTTGTGTTTCACTTAAACTCTCCAAACTTTAGTATTCCTAAAGGAAAGTGGGGTTAATGTGAATAAAATAATCATTGCTGTTCAGAGAAAATTCTGTATAACACTGAATAAACATCATTTAACATCTATCACAGTTCCTAATAAATGTTGATTACTTAATAAGTATTCCATGAATAAAGAGTTTTGAAAATTCTACATGAAGGTAGACACATTAGTTGCTCCTATGATTAACTACCTGGAATTAAAATAACTTGAAGATAAAAGGACCACACCAAAAATAAATACATAAAACCTCCTTTTTGTCCAAAGTTGTAAGAGCAGATAAAAACTCAGGCCTTCTTTCAACTGATGTCTGGCGCATAAGTAGTAAGTTATATTTGAACATTGCCATTGCCTTGAACTAAAGAATTAAAATATAGTTTTGTCAGATTGAGAGAGAAGAAGCACTTTTCTTGTTTTAAAAATTTGCCTTTGTGCGTGAAGGGAGCAGATGGTAGAGCAGAGGGAGGAGATGGTACACATATATTATCAAGTGCTGAGCACATAAATCAATAGTCTTTTAAAATCCAAGTTTAACTTAAGAATGACTTGATGAGATGCAGTATAAGTTATGTCATCTCAAACATAAAATATGTTGTTAATAGAATAATCATGTTGGTGCTGTTTTGTAAAAAAAAAAAAAAAACCATAACAGACAAATTAATGCAATATTTAAATTATAAACATACTACCCAGGTAGTTAATGTTATGTAGAAGTTAATGAGATTGTGATTTAGAGGAATGATTATTTCTACAAATTAATCTTCATTTTTGAGGACTGAGAAATCTTTACTAAATGCATGAAGGGAAAACTGTCTATCATGGCTGAATTTCACCCATGCTTGACATTATTACATCCTGCCACTAGAGCTCATTGTTGCTCTTTCTATAGATTCCAAGTTCAATTTATTTTTCTTTCTTTCTTCTTTTTACTTTCTCTTTTTTTCTTGCTTGCTCACATCTCTCTGTTAGCTGGCTATAATCCACTCTGAAAAATATCACATTCTAGACGTATATTGATATTTATGAATATGTATAATCCAATATCTAGAATCATCTTTTAAGACCGTGATAGGATGTCCAAACCCAACAGCCCAAGCCAAGTTAAAACTATGATCTAAATTCCCGAACTAGCTACAAGATGAATTTTCAATGAATTCATTACCTCTTTCATTTTCCCAATAACCCTTTTCAATTAAAAACATAACTCAAAACTGTGCATGCCTGTTTCACACATGCACACACAACTCAAGTTGTTCCCAGAATGCATTTATGGGAGCACACTTCATTATAGCATAGTCTGGGGCACTCTAACCTGCATCAGCATAAGCTGATAAAAGAGCAGCTTATGGAATAATTTGCACAAACATCAGTCTGGTAAACAGATGTCTCCTAATTAAATATATTATATCATGTTTATCAAACATGTTAAAGTGTTCATTTTCACGTATTCTCCAAGCTTGATCAATTTAATGAAAAATACTAAAGGTTCCTATAAGGTATAATTTGGACTATGTAAATAGTTTTTCTATTGTAATTTCCCCCCAAATCTATGCCTTTCCATAGTCATTACAAATTATTTGAAGTCTTTTTTTCTTAAGGCCGATACTGAGACCAAATGCCTTTATTTTTAATTCCTCCTTGTAAATAGGAAACAAATGAAGTACCCCACCACTACCAACATACACACACACAACAAATTAAAACTTTGTTACTTTCAAGTTGTCTTTGGAAACAATATTTAGAACAATATGTAAAAAAGGTTTACAGGCTGGGCGCAGTGGCTCAAGCCTGTAATCCCAGAACTTTGGGAGGTCGAGGCGGGTGGATCACTTGAGGTCAGGAGTTTGAGAACAGCCTGGCCAACATAGCGAAACCTCATCTCTGCTAAAAATACAAAAAATTAGCCGGGTGTGGTGGTGCATGCCTGTAATCCCAGCTACTCAGGAGACTGAGGTGAGAGCATCACTTGAATCCAGGAGGCTGAGGTTGCAGTGAGCAGAGATCGCTCCAGTGCACTCCAGCCTGGGCAACTGACAGGACTGTCTCAAAAAACAAACAAACAAAACAAAACGAAACAAAATACACACGCGTGCACACAAACACACCACACAATAAAACAGTTTATGTTACGCCTGGAGGGCTTCTCCCAATGTGTAGAGAAGATGCCAATACCACCTAAGGCAGCAAGAACAAGGTACTTTCTATCTTAAGTAGTAATAGGAGTAGGGAGTGGTTAATAAAAAATACAAATAAAAAAATAAAATTAAAACAAACAGGCCGTTTACCAAGAGACATTTGTGAGTTCCTTCTACTTTCTATTTTATCCTGGCTTCCTCCCTATGTGTCAAATCACTGCATGCTCCTGTTGCTCTCCTAATCAGTCTCAAACTGTTGGCAACCTAACTCCAACACGCAGTCAAACAAATAGTAATCCAGTCAAACAAACAAGAATTGCCCAAAATTCATATCGTGTGTTTGTTGTGTGACTTTTATGAATTCTATTAGATAATAGAAGGCCCAAAAAATGTCCAGAATAATTTTGGGTTGTCTCTATTTTCACTAAATCAGTGGTCATTATGTTTTCATGGTCACACAAACCTCCACATATCTTACTAAACTATAGATGCTTTTTTCCAAGGAAAACTCCTACTTAAAATTTTCTAACGAACCCAACAGCCCAAGCCAAGTTAAAACTATGATCTAAATTCCCGAACTAGCTACAAGATGAATTTTCAATGAATTCATTACCTCTTTCATTTTCCCAATAACCCTTTTCAATTAAAAACATAACTCAAAACTGTGCATGCCTGTTTCACACATGCACACACAACTCAAGTTGTTCCCAGAATGCATTTATGGGAGCACACTTCATTATAGCACAGTCTGGGACACTCTAACCTGCATCTTCCTATAGTTTGGTCCCACTTCACTGAAAACACTAGCTTTATGCTCCAAGCCCACCCACCCCCATTATTAGCTAATTGAGACTCTGCTTTTCTGATAACCAAAGCAAAATATTTCCTTCTGTTCTACTCTCTGCTTCAGAGAGTTAAAAATTTGAGCATTCCTACCAAATAAGCATTTCTCTTATAAATTCCAAACTCCCTGGATATACAATAACGGATAGTTAAATTGCTTATGTGCTCTTATGATGTGTCAGACTATGAAAAAGAATTGGACTGACAATTTATGTTCATATTTCAATAACTGGTATAGGTAACTTTCCTATTTTTTGCCTAGTTAATTTTATATGCTGAGAGAGTTCCTGGAGATATAGTCAGAGTACAGGCTAAGAGAAAGAAGATGGACAATGTAATTTGAATGAGAAAGATGTGCAGTGATACTTTTCCTTTCAAATTACCTGACAATTCAAGAGACATGGGTTATATATTAAAGAAAGAATGTAGTCCAAGATAGCATATGCCTGCCTGGGACCATCTTAGATAAATGGACAGCTTTCTATACCGTGGAAGTTAGATATTATATTCAAGATAAAGGGTTTGACTGACAGATCAGTATCTGAGAGAATCCTGGCATATCAGTATCTTCATGCAAATAAGCACAGCCATTCTGAAGTCATTAGCTGAACTTTTGGTTGGGGGTGGGCCTGAACAACTAAAAGCAGGAGTGATGAAGAGTTTAACATTTCCACAAAAATCGACAGATCACAAAAGTTACATGTTGAAAAAGTATAAAACGTATTTGAAACAACTGTCAATGAAAATTATTGAAATATTTATCTCCTGAGATTTGTTACATGAAATATAAAATTTTCCAAACTTTTAAAATAAGATAGGCACCCTAACAGTGCATTGTAATGGGAATGGTATTTACACGATATATTTTAAAAACTAAATGTTTAGCAAATATGAATAATGGTCATCATTAATGGATGATAGTACTAGAATTTCTTTTTCTTTTTTTACTAATTTATTTCTTGTATATTTTTGCTTTGCATAGCATATTTCAATAATAATGCACATTATGCAAAATAGTGTTCACTATTCTGAGTAATTAGCAGATTTAAATTAGCCTCTACTATAGAGAACACACTAGTCTTTAAGCCTTGCTATTGTTCATTGCAGTATTTTATTTTGATCACCCCACAAAGTTTTAGTTGATGCTTTGCATATTTGAAATTTACAAGTATTTTAAAATTGTATAAATTTTGTTTCACTTTGAAATTTGTTAAACACATAAACAGTCACCAACATCAATGAAGATAATATGGTATGAACATTTCTTATGATACTCTGACCTACTTTTTATCCTAGGACTAGGCTTGAAGCCTGGTAACTAGAAATTACTAGTCTCACCGGAACAATTCTTTATAAAGGTAATTGATGTCTATATAAATACAATGTGCATACTTACGCAAGCAGCCATTAACCTTTAAACCTTATTCAGCTCCTCCTGAGCACAATCATTTGCCCAGTGTTATCAAGTTAACATCAACTGAATCATTAGCAACTTGCAGACTTTGTGGCAGGGTTCACCGTGGAAGGATTCACCTGTGACAGTATTTGTCTTTTGGTGTCTATGATCTTTTAATCTGTAGCTTATTTTCCTATGGTTCAAGAACCCAAAACTACATGCTCTTATATAGCAAAGTTGTAAAAAAAATTGGGTGGTATTCCACTTTCTTTGTATAGAAGACGCTAATTTCCCCAGTTGTTGCATAGAATTGTTTCAAATGTCTAGATACTGTAGCCTCACAGTACTCTTATTTGAAATATGCAGATGAAATTAGAAAGAAGTACTCTTCATTTTCTATGTCATGTTACATGTAGGAACATGATTTATGTTTTTGTGTTTGAAGAAGGGTTTTACAATTATGTAGTAATCCATGTAATAAACATGAGGAATTAGGTATTGATCGGCAGACTGACTATCAAGCTCTATTCTTTGATTACAAGGGATGAAAGTGTTTATTGTACAATATATTTTAAAATGTTCCTGTGTGGATTATCTGCTTTTGTCTCTTGTTTTTAGCCATTTATTTTTCCATCTTAAGTCACCTTTTCAGAAAAGCTCAACCAATTCCTAGGCTATCACACTTTAATGACAAATTGAAATAACCAAATCCAATGAATACATTGAATCACATACTAAAATGATACCTCGATTTCTTGAATAAAATAATGAAGTGCCCTCACATATCTCTATAGCTATGTCAAACTTCTTTTTAAAATCTCTTGATTATTCTCTTCTTCTTATGCCTTCCCTTATACTTCCTCCTCAACCAATTGAATTGGCCACTCAATTTATAATGAGTTGATCAGAAACCTGGCTGTCATACATGAATTTACTCATCTTCACATTCTCACCTCCAAAGAACCAGTATTAAAATTGAATCTTTGTCCTCCTTACCCTTAGTCTTTTTCTAGTATTGGCTGCCATCCTCTTCCCTTTGGTTTACTGCAATAACATAAATTGTCTGTAGTCCCCCAAAATTCCAAACATGAATGGACATTTTACTGAAAAGGAAACCAGATGGCAAATAAGTACATGAAAATATGTTTAACATTATCTACCAGGAGAGAAATATAAAAACCACAGTATGTGACTAAATCTGTCATAATGACTAAATAAAAAGCTGCGAGCAAAACAAAAGTAACTTCATTAAAAAATGGGCAAAGGACATGAACAGATACTTGTCGAAATAAGACATACAAGTGACTAACAAACATATGAAAAACTGCTCAGCATCACTAATCAGAGAAATACAAATCAAAACCACAATGAGATACCATCTCACACCAGTCAGAATGGCTACACTAAAAAATAAAAATAGGGCCTGGGTGGTGGCTCACGCCTGTAATCCCAGCACTTTGGGAGGCTGAGGCGGGTGGATAACGAGGTCAGGAGATTGAGACCATCCTGGCTAACACGATGAAACCCCATCTCTACTAAAAATACAAAAAAATTAGCTGGGTGTGGTGGCGGGTGCCTGTAGTCCCAGCTACTAGGGAGGCTGAGGCAGGAGAATGGCGTGAACCCAGGAGGCGGAGCATGCAGTGAGCCGAGATCGGGCCACTGTACTCTAGCCTGGGCGCCAGAGCGAGACTCTGCCTCAAGAAAATAAAAAAATAAAAAAAATATATAAAAATAAATGTAAAACAGGTGCTGGAGAAGCTGCAGAGAAAAGGGACTGCTTATACACTGTTGCTAGGAATGTAAATTAGTTCAGCCACTGTAGAAAGCAGTCTGGAGATTTCTCAAAGAATTTAACACAGAGTTACCATTTGACCCAGCAATCCCATTACTGGGTATATAACCAAAGGAAAATAGGTTATTCTATCAAAAAGACACTCATATGCATTCTTATGTTCATTGTTGCCCTATTAACAATAGCAAAAACATGGGATCAACCAGGTGTTCCTCAATGGTATATTGAATAAAGAAAATGTGGTGCATATGCACCATGGAATACTATGAAGCCATAAAGATAATGAAGTTATGTTTTTTGCAACAACATGGATGCAGATGGAGGCCACAATCCTAAGTGAATTAATACAGGCACTGAAAACCAAATTGAACTTGTTCTCACTTATAAGTGGGAGCTAAACTTGGAACACACGTGGACGTAATTATGGGAGCAAAGATACTACAAACTACTTGAAGGGAGAGGCAGGCAGGGGGCATAGGTTGAAAAACTACTAATTGGGTACTATGCTTACTACCTGGTTGTTGGGATTCATACCCCCAAGCCTCAACATCATTCAATATTCTCATGTAACATGCTTGCACATTTGGCCCCATATCTAAAAAAAAGCTGTAATGTTTAAAAATGAATAAATAAAATTAATTAGGAAATATCCTAAAAGCCCTATAAAAACAATTTTCATGCTATATTGTTTTTGGTAGATTGTAAGGTCTTTGAATATTTTCTGTGACAGTGGTCACTGTACGTTTGCACCCTAATGAAATAAAAGTGAATCTTTGGCACAACCATCCTGAAAAAATAGATTAAAAGCTATGAAGGCTGGGGGCGGTGGCTCACACCTGTAATCCTAGCACTTTGGGAGGCCGAGGCGGGCGGATCACGAGGTCAGGAGCTCGAGAATATCCTGGCTAAAACGGTGAAACCCCGTCTCTACTAAAAAATACAAAAAAAAAAAAAATTACCCGGGCGTGGTGGTGGGCGCCTGTAGTCCCAGCTACACAGGAGGCTGAGGCAGGAGAATGGCGTGAACCTGGGAGGCAGAGTTTCATACCCCCCCACATCTGATGTTTCAAAATGATATTTGTGCACATATTTAGTTGTTATTTTCCCTGGGTGATAAAATTAACTGTATATGGGTTTTTTTTTTTTCATATTTAGGACATTTGACATATTTTAAAAGGAATTAATCATTTTTTTCTCCAAACCTGTTCCTTTTGCATATTATTTATTACAGTTAAGGATATCATCATCCATCTAACTGCTCAAGCCGGTAAATACAAGGTTATCCTAGAAACCTTCTGCCTTGTTTAGCTCTCACATTTATTTGGTAAACAGGCCTGGATGATTGTGTCATCTAAGTGTTCCACACTTCTCTCTCCTCTTTTAAATACCTAAAGATAGTACATTAGGTCATCATAACCTGGACTATTAATTTATCTGACTCCACTCAATCCCTTGTCCATACTTCAATCAAATGATTTTTCTCAAGTAGAATCTAACCATCTCATAATTTCTCGACAAAATATTTCAAAGTATTTCCTTCCATCTCTTCTCTCCATGCCTTTGAAAAATGATAAACTCTATATTTCTCAGCATGTCATTCAATGGCTTGCATGATTCAGCGTCCATCTCACTCTATGGGTTCATATTTCTGTATTTTTCTTCATGCATCTTATGCTCCAGAAATTAATTGATATTAATTGATGCTGCTATAAGACCTTAAACTTATCCATGCCTTTATATTTTTGCATATGTGTCTTTCTCATTTTTCATTTCTTGTCCTGGAACATTCTCCCTCACTCCCTGCCTCCCTTCTTCCCTGCCCTTTATCTTTAATATATTAGACTGATACATAGTATCTCTCTCTCTCTCTCTCTCTCTATATATATATATATATAAACTATATTAGACTTTAATACATATATAATATATTAGACTTTAATGAATAATCCTCAAAGCAGAAATATACCTTCTATGAGAAAACTTTCTTTTACTACACCCTACTCTTAAATTGATTTACATATGTCTCTGTATGTGTGTATATCACAAAACTATAAGAAAACAAATGTTGCAAGAAATCAGACATACTCAGAAAAACAAGAGGAAATAATGGATACAAAGTTGATGTGGAGGAACAAAATGCAGAGCATCTCCTGGTATTTTAAGAAAATTAGAAATAGAACTGAAGGAAGTGTTATCCATGCTTCCCTGGCATGCGCAGGATTATTTACAGTAATACTTAAATCAAAAAGTTCAGATGCAGTATATTATAGTCCTTTTCTTAACAATGTCAATCATTTTAAGTTAGTAATGGAGTAAAAAAAACAGTCAGGTTTCAATAGCAGGGCAAAACATTGAAAGGACTTGAATAAAAAATGCTCATTATAGCATGTGCTGTAAAAATATGTGGTTCAGATTTCATTTTATGTAATTTTTGAAGAAAATAGAACATAGCTTGCATAATGCATTTCATAGCAATAATATTATTCATGATAGATGAATAAAACTAGAAAATTTGGTTTATTGCTGTGTGTCGTGTCTGAGTAATGGCTAAATGTACTAGTGCTTTCAATTAGTATCATTGCTTTATACAGAGAGTCAAGTGCAGCCAAATTGCATAGAGAGATGAACTGACAATTTGTCAATTCATTGGCTCAATTACATACCCAAAGAACCACTTTGAGTTTTAGATTCAGGGTGGATTATTTACACTGAACCAATTAACCAGTTCAATGATAAATGTCTACTCTGTGAACGTAACTTGGAAGTAAATATATATCTACAAATCATTTAAAACTATTGGCACTATCTCAAACATCTATGTGCCTACCTTCATACCTAACATAATAAAGAGGAAGAAAGTTACCATGTATTTGCTTATGGCTACTTGATCTGAATTCTTTACATTTAGAAAAGTGTTACATTCCTCAATGATGCACTTTAGAAATGGAATGAGGAGCCCTTAACAACAAGGAAATAAAATTGTATCTTTTATTTCCAAAAAATACGTAATTTCTCATACTAGTTTATGGTTTCCTAGAATACAAAGACTCTGTGCATATATTTTTCTAAGTAATCAATTATTGTTATTGGAATTGAAGTTGAATTCATCAATAAACAAAAATAAGATATTTTATGACATATTATAGAAAGTTACATTCAGTTACAAGAAGGATGAAATATTTCAATAAGAAATCCCCACATCATACAGAGACCACCACATATTAGCAGATATTTACTTGATTTACTTAATTTTTTACTTGATACGTTATATTTCCTTTTACATGCTAATTTCCTCGCTATATTTTTCAATCAGTACTTCTTAAGTATTTCAGGAATGTAAATCAGAATACACACATAAAAATAATCAATATTATGGGATTTTTGTTTTTTTAAAAAGACAACTCCAATTTGATCAAAATAAGACTCTTTTAGAAATGTGGTTCTAGAAACTGAGCCAAGGCCAAAAATAGAAACCTGCAAGGTTTGGGAAATGCAATATCTAAAAAAGCCTGAGGTTGCTCTAAATGCCTATGTTGGAAAATATATATGCTTCTGTATCTTTATCCTACAAGGTTCATTTGTTCATTATTCCCCAGATTCAAGCCTTTGCAAAAAATGTTTCCTCTGCCTCAGTAATGTAGTCATAACAATTTTTGTGATTTCGCTGAGACCTCTGACCTTTATGAAGCCATCCTTTAGCATTCTAGCCAGTACTGAGCTTTATTAATTCGGTACCTGTAAAGCACAGGGTGAGATATAAATACAGTGACGTGCTTTTTCAAACTATTTTCTGATATTCATATTGTTGTATTGTACCATAATTTATAGCATCATTTGTTTTGCCTTATTAATTTGGTTATAATTTCCTGAAAGGATTGACTGCACTTTTATTTCTTTTATATTTCCATAATGATTAGCAATGCCTGATCTTTGCTATCATATCACTCAGTTATACTTTTTGAATAGGTCTTACCACTTTCTGAAGTGATCTTGACCATCCATTTATGTACACACTTTTGTTCTATCTCTCTGCACTAAAACGTGAACTTAAAGAATTCAGGGACCTTGTCTTTCCTGATCCCAGCAGTCTCTCAATTCCTAGAACACTTTCTGCTTCTGAGTAGATCCTCAAATATTTGCGAATGAATGAACAGAGCTCTGATTATGTAACAATGGCCAATACTTAACGGTTTACTTGAGCAAGGACTAAGGAGTAAGTGTTATGAAAGTCCAGGCACTGTGAAGGATTACAAAGAGATCCCAGAGAATGGACCAGTAGACGCTTTCAAGCAAATTCTTTCCTTGATCAGTTCAGTGACTTGACAAAATCACTGACACTCTCTTAGCCTCAGCGTCTTGATTTCTAAAGTGAGGCTAATAAATAATTGTATTTCTTCCCTGTATAATCTTGAAAGATGGGTATGTGAAAATATTTGTCAGCTAATACACTATAGCCATACAGTGCTATGATATTGGTACCTGTGCTCCCTGAATTGGTTTCTCTCAGATTAATTATTTTCAGAACTTTAATAGATGTTAGTAAGTAGACTCTCTCTGCATGTATTAATAAATGTATAATTATTCTCTAGAGGTTTATAAAAGGTAATGTACATATATGTAAAAATGTCAATTTAGAGTTAAAATTAATATTCACTTTTCTGTCCATAGATGGCAGCAATGCACCAACTCTTACATAACTTAATAACATTGTGAAAAAGTTATCTGTATACTAAATACCATGTTCTCTTAATAGTACATGAAAATTATTTAAGGGGAACCATAGCATCAATAGAATATGAACAAAAATATATTTTAAAAATCCTCTGCTGCCAGTCTCAGGCTTTTATTCAGTGAACTCAAGGGTTGCTTCAGTTTGCTCAGCGTGGGAGTCTTTGTCATTTTAACTGGATGTCACAATAGATATTGATAAAAATAAACCTCTTTTTAGATAATAGCAATTCAAAACAACACCAAGAAAATGCCCCGTCTTTCAGTAGTGGCTATTAAAAATGGATTAATACATGCACGCAGCCCTCTTTTATTTGTTTAAAAACATTAAAATGACTAGAAAGCGCTTAAATAAAGAAACCTCTTGTACAGAAAGAATAAGGGAAAATAAAGAAAGGAGATTTCCAGATATAGACCTGAAGACAAAGCAAACCAAGAGAAATGGGCCCATGGGAGACAAGAAAAGCTACAAGATGAGATTGAACTGGAGAGAAATATAATAAATCTAAACAATGCCTCAGAATGCCTATCGGAGTACAAAACGTATTTTGGTCCGTTATTGAATTTTGTGCCTAAAAAATTCCCTATCACATGTTGAATCAGATTGTTTTTGTTTTCCCTTCCTAAATTAAAAGTTCATTATAAATACTTTGAAAAATTATACCTATGTTGAGAAGGCAAGTTGTGAAAGAAATATATTTCCATTTTAAATCAAGAGAAAGAAAGTGGTACAAAATTTCTGTGATGCAACATTTAAAATCTGAAAATAATCTCTTGGTATTGAAAATATGTTAGCACTTAATTTAAATGATTTGGTACATACATTTAAAGAAAAAGACATTTAATATATATATAAAGAGAAAGGGAGAGTGGAAAGGCACACCACACAACTGTCCAATATAACTAAAGATAAATGAAGCCCACTGGAGGGAAAGGACTGTTGCATTTCAGCATCTCACAAGGTTCAAAGCAAAATTCCAAAACAGCTTACAGATGTGGGATTTATTCATATCAAGGGTAGGTCTTTTAATACTGACTTATTTAGCTCTTTAACTCTAAAAAATTCCTAAATCCTGTAAATCCTCCAGGGCCTACTATCTAATTATATTGCATATCCCGCATTTCTACCCAATAAAAACTGCCTTATTATTTAATGACTTGACTTTGGAGTCTTTGAAGACTAAATTCTAGTCTGCTGGAAATGAATTTTAAAATGTTTTCTTTTTGCCATAGTTTTAAATTTGGGCCTATATTTTCCATCTCATCATTCCACAATTTGCCATAATCACATGTTTTTCTAAGTAAATATATTTTCACCAATCCAGCAGTACAGATTGAGAAATTATTCTTCAATATTTTGTATTGTTTATTTTTTTTGAGACAGAGTCTCACTCTGTCACCCAGGTTGGAGTGCAATAGCGTGATCTCGGCTCACTGCAACCTCTGCCTCCCAGGTTCAAGTGATTGTCCTGCCTCAGCCTCCCGAGTAGCTGGGACTACGGGCACATGCCACCACGCCCGCCTCATTTTCGTATTTTTAGTAGAGACGGGGTTTCTCCATGTTAGCCAGGATGGTCTCGATCTCCTGACCTCATGATCCACCTGCCTTGGCCTCCCAAAGTGCTGGGATTACAGGCGTGAGCCACCGTGCCCGGCCCAATATTTTTTCTCTTATTGTGAAACTCATTTCTAGACCAAAAAAATATATTCACTTCATGTTATTAGCTCAACATGTATATATTTATATTAACACATAGAAAATAAAATCAACAGTAAGTTCCAAGTTTTTTGCATTATCCTCCCAGAGGAAATAAAACTAACAGGATCAGAAAAATGTGCAGAGAAAGTGTATTTGAAACCAGATTTGGCATAAATTTCAAACTCTCTATTGGTCATATGCTTGGGTTTTAAATTTTTATAAGTTTGAGAGAGGAATCACTCTGATTCTCCTCATATATGCATTAAAACAAATGTGTATTCGAAATAGATTTATATATTTTTTCAAATCAATCTATAGATTAAGATGTATCAAAAATATCTCAATTACTAATACATGAAAAGGTGATGATGGCAGTGAATATTTGTAGAAAGGATAAACTACTTTCTATTTTTGAAAACTAATCTTTTGAAAAGTAAAAGCTTTAAAAATTTTATTATTTCTTTCTTGAATACAACAGTTACTCAGTTGAATTAAAACATAAGGTTCATATTGAACATTGTGTGAAATGTTAATTTTTAAAAATTATCTCCCAAAATGATGTCG
Source organism: Homo sapiens (assembly GCF_000001405.40). NCBI lineage: Eukaryota > Metazoa > Chordata > Mammalia > Primates > Hominidae > Homo > Homo sapiens. The sequence goes on from NC_000013.11 coordinate 70,625,791, forward strand.
AGGGAAAATAACCTATATTGGTTATATCTACATTGAAATATTACTTGGAGGGGTATAGTTACATAGGGAATTATTTTTAGAAAAGTGATTTTATTATGATCATTTACTGTTATTTTGAGTCCCCTTGTTATTTTGAGTGAAAAGATAAGCACAATCTTTATTAAAATAACCAACACAAAAATATTAGTGGAATTTTATAATTGTCCTTTGTCACTTTAAAAACAGTTGGAAAGGTTGAGACTCTACTGTTAAGGAAAAATACAAAACTGTTTCAAGTCAATTTGTACAGCTGGTTTCAAAATCTCTGGCAAAATTAAAATCGCCAATTCAAATGACAAAATGTGTTTTCTGAATGAGTTGTTAATCACTAGAAAGTAAATAGTACAGCTATCTAAAGGAAATTATTTCTGAGACAGATATGTCAAGTAATTTAATCCCCAAATATGTGTGTTATTTTATCATCTTAGAGATGAAAAAATAATCTCTCTTGTTTAACGAATAGTAAGCGATACGGTAAAGAAGGTGCCATAATATGTATGACCAAATGTCCTTGTGCTAGAGTTAGAGTAGGGATCAGACTGCAAATACAATTATTACATACATGTTTAAATGTCTTCTCTCCATTAACAGAAATGATGAAGCTCCTAGAAAGCTAAATGATTAAAAATGTTGGCGGTGGGTGGAGGACAGATTCTAATCTGAAATGCACAGTGTGTATGGCTGCATATCTCAAAAAGCTGTTACAGTGATAGAAAAACAGAAACTGTGAGTTGTACAGTGTTTTTCGAAAGCCAGGGTGGTTGAAATTAAAATGCCAGGAATCAGCCATATGATATGTGGTGCACCTTCTCAGGAGGAAAAATCGGAGGAGGTATTCTAGCATAAAAAAGTCACCATTACAGTATGAGGTATTAAAAATTGCCAATTAAAAGCATATAAAATTATAGTTCATATGGTTCTGTCTTTGAGAATTTAGTTGTAGACTATGGTTCTTTCGCAAATATCTAACTGTTACCAATAGAAGGCAGGAATATTCTGACTCTGAAATTAAGGTCTATTTTTGCATTCTCATTTGTTGCTGTATGCATAAATGTTACAATTTTGTTATGACGAAGATGCTGACATAAAATACCTATATAATAAAATCGTGATATTATATATGTTGAATACACACACACACACTATAGTGTGTATATATATATACACACATATATATAATATATTTTAACATTGTAGGGAATAATACTATATATATATATATATATACTATACATAGTATATATATATTTTTTTTTGAGACGGAGTCTCGCTCTGTCGCCCACGCTGGAATGCAGTGGCGCGATCTCCGCTCACTGCAAGCTCCGCCTCCCGGGTTCACGCCCTTCTCCTGCCTCAGCCTCCAGAGTAGCTGGGACTACAGACACCCACCACCACGCCCGGCTAGTTTTTTGTATTTTTGGTAGAGACGGGGTTTCACCGTGTTAGCCAGGATGGTCCGCGCCCGGCCGGAATAATACTATATTTCAAAGCCTTTCATTGCTCCTACCCATGTGTTAGCTTTTTATTATATTAAATTTACTGCTAATTAATAAGTGCTTATTGATAATTGAACTGAATATTTTGTCCTAAAAATGAAAGCCCTTCCTAGCCGTACTGCATAGTCAACAGATGTGTAACAGAGACCCTTCTTTTCTAATTCCATATCCCCTCCTATAATTATAAGACAATTAAAACTGTTACTGGGTTCATAACCAAAACACATCAACAGATCAGGAGTTTTATTGTCATAACCCCTTAGGATATAGATGGCACCTTTCCATGTTGCTAGTGCAACTACTCGATGTTTCAACACATTTGTTACACAAACTGTTTGAATTTGAGGTTCCAGTCTTCACTTATTTTTACTATTGTTATCTCTTATTCCATGGTTAAACATCTACATGACATTTTATTTAATGGTTTTTCAGTGAAAAGTTATTTACTACAATGGATTCCTTGCCAAGTGGAGGTTATTCCTGATAATTGCTGAAGATTCCTTGTTACCACCACCATGAATTTTAATGCTGTCTAATGAGTCAATTCTAGTGATGAAGGAAACCCCAGGGCAGAGTGAAGACTGTCACTTTTGGAATAGCAGAGGGCATAAATGATCCCTCTAAGCCCAAGGGTTGGAATAGAGAAGATGAGGTAGAAGGAGGTTTAACAATGGAGACTCTTGCATAAACTAAGTGGCAAATACCTTGACAGGTTACAATTACAATATTTCTGCCAAGATGGAGTATGACATCAGAACTCTAGTTAGTTTGCATGATGAAAACATAAAAGTAGCCTCCGTGATATAGAAGATATACAAGAGAATTTTGTTTAGCTAAATCACAAAGCACGAATAAGATAAATGTTTTTTTTTCTTCTACTGACAGACATTTTGAAAAACATCATTTATTGGGCATTTACTGTGTGTTAGAGCCATTACATATAGTACTAATAATAACATTGTGAGGCAGAAATATGTATTTCCTTTTGAATGTTAAGAAACTAAGATTAAGAGAGATTCAATAAATTGGCCTTCTAGGCATAGCTCAAAGGCACAATGCTCCAACTGGGAATTGGGCTTCTCTGACTACAGAGTTAACTATTTTCATGATGCCACAACTTTATCTTGTTTTACAGCGTGTTTTTATAGAGGTATGACCCAACTATGTGGAAACAAAGAGTCAAAAGACATAATACGGATCTAATGGGCTTTTATTTGCAATTCATGAAATGGTTAAGCCTTCGTTCTGCAAAACAGAATTAGAGCTCCACTGAGCAGTAGCAGAGCAATGGGTTTTATAAGATGGGAACAAGGCAACAGAACATCAGGAAAAGGCTCCTTGGTTAACATCAGGTTACTTCAAGCTACTTTTTCCTAAGGGTTCAAGCAAAGGGGTGTTCCTTATTACAATGACTCAGGTAAACTGGAATCTCCTGTTTTCAGGAAAAAACAAACTGGTCTGTGTGGAGATTTATTTGCTGCCTTCCAATTTCAGTTTCATTGTGTGGCATTTAGCATGAGTGACTCCATTTTGGTTTGGTCTGATCTGTTGGGACCCGGTGTAGGAACTCAGTCCAAAACAATGGGCTCCCATAATTTTTGTTTAACCATTGACAGGAAACGCAGCCACTGGCATTTGCCTGGAGCAGTAGTGTCAAGGCTGATTAACAGAGGAGAGAGAAGTTGAGTTGTGTCAGGAAGTAGAAGAGTTTTGTCAGGCAAAAAAAAGATGGTCAGAGAGTTCCATCATAGGGAATATAAAAGGCCCCGGCATGTGAGACACTCTTGAAAAATTCAGCATGAATGGATCACAGGGAATAACAGAGGGCTGTTGACAGAGAGGAAGCTACAGAGATAGATTAGAACCAGAATTTTAAGAGCTTTATGTGGCAGTGGAGGGGAAGGGGCCAAATAATTAATATTAAATAAAATCACTAAAATACAAACAAAAAATAGTCACCAGACATATAATAAAATATTTTGAGTGTGTCTGCTTTCGGGAATCACAAATAGTTAAATATTTTTAATATACATGGAATCTTGGATTTAGGTACTTCAGTATTTCTCAGTTCATAACTGAGAATATTGAGAAATTCGTATAGATAGTGGATTCTCCCAATGTCTTAAAGTTACTCCTGAAAGGACTTGGACTAGAATGCAGATCTTATAACTTTATAATTTTTCATCATGCTATGAATTCTGCCTTCTTTTCTGAGATAGGCTAAAAATAAGTACTTGAATGCAATATAAACATGGTCTTTGAAGTATTATATCCATGATACAGACTAAAATAACTAAAGTCTGATCTTCCCACTGTCCCAGAATTATAATTTTTTCTTTGCCCCAAAGATGGAACTGTATTAAGTCCAGAGATATTTCCCTGTCTGCTCATCACCATTTTTTTTCTCTTCCAGGAAAACTTGAAGGGTCATATTTTAGAATAACTGCCTTTCTCCTAACAGGGAAGCCAAAAGGCAGTGAATGTCTGCCCTGTAATTCTCTCAAATAGGCTTCTGGATTTCTGGCTATGGTTTCTGTTTATATTTTAGTGTTTCTTCCATGAACTTTCGTGGGTCAATCACTAATATCTAGGGAATGCATAGGTTCATAGGTTAATTCGGGTAAAGTAGTGAATGTATTCTCTATATGGTAGTAGTGACTGTATTCTCTATATGGTTTATAGGCCTGTACCTTCCAGCAGACAGTGAGATCATTGAGAGAAGAGATGGGCCTACATCTTGTTATTGTATTTCTAGCATAGTACAGAATAGATACTCATTAACAAAATCTGCTAACTAATGGGTACACAGTCATGAATAAGACAAACACCACCAAAGAAAAATTACACTGGATGATGTTAGACTAGGAAGACTTTCTTCAAGACTACTGCAATAGGGTAGAGAGACTGAACTGTGTAAGCAAAAACTAGGGAGGTTTTTAAGTACTATGTTGAGCTAGTGGGAAAACACAGGAAGACAGCCTGAGGGGGGACGTTAGTTACTGTGATCAGGCCCTTTGTGCTGACTAATTGCTGACTATCAAAGTTTGGTTTCTACCCTCCCATAGAGACTGGGAGATAGGGAATCTATCATTGTTGATGATTACATTTCAAAGAGATGGCTCTTGAGTCCTAGAGAAAAATTCCTGGGTTGGAAAACTGGCAGGAGACTGGAAGAAGATTTACATCTTAAAGGAGTAGAGAAAAAAATTTACAATGGAAAGCTTTTTAAAGTAAGTGCTCCAAGGAAGTAGAAGCCATATAGGTCTGTATCAGGGAGAAATCTATTGGCTGTCAGTTAAGCTAAGAGGAATGTTAAGGCGCTGTTGGTCAATGTGATCTGTAGCCCTTTTGGCATTGAATCTTGATTGAACATTTTAAAATTTTATGTATTGAATAGTGAATATTAAATATAAGTGAGCAAATTACAAACATTAAATAAAATAGATGATTTTTATGAAAGAAAAATAGTAATGAGATAAGTTACATTGTGGATAAATCTGCAAATTTCAAAGTCGCCTATTTGAGGATTCCTAAAAATAGATTGAGAAGAAAATCTAACTAAATATTCACTCCCACCATTTATTAAAGTGGGACGTGAGTTTAAAGGTTGTGTAACTCTAAAAGCTCATGATATCTGGAATGCAAGTTTGCCAAACCAATGTGTAGGATATGTAATGAATTAAATAAGTATTATAGGATTAAGATCAACTATACAAATCCATGATGTTCAAGAAAAATAAAGTTTCTGTATTTTTCCATAATTAATCTTATACTTCACAGGCATGGGAGGGAGGAGGAAGATCAAATCTGATAAAGTTGATAATCTACATTAGATTCAATACTTTACACTTCCCCTTTGACATTCAGGTTCTTGAGGTTCTTGAAAGACTCAGTCTTTCAAAGTCTCATCTTTTCTCTCTGTTTCCTTTTTTTTTTTTTTTTTTTGAGATGAAGTCGCCCATGCTGGAGTGCAGTTGTGCCATCGTGGCTCACTGCAACCTCCACCTCCCGGGTTCAAGCAATTCTCCTGCCTCAGCCTCCTGAGTAGCTAGGAATACCGGCGCATGCCAATACGCCCAGCTACTTTTTGTAATTTTAGTAGAGACGGGGTTTCACCATGTTGGCCAGGCTGGTCTCGAACACCTGACCACAAGTGATCCACCCACCTTGGCCTCCCAAAGTGCTAGGATTACAGGCGTGAGCCACCCACTGCACTCAGCTCCCTCTGTTTCTGTTCAACATAACATTTAGGTAATAAATTTAAAAGATAGATGGTAAGGATAAATGAGGCTTATGAGACTTAATGGAGGATGCTCTTTAACACCACTAGTTGACCATATGTAGACAAATAGTCCATCAGGAAACATGGTTGTACCTACTTCCTTAGAGCAAGGCACTGATCATTTCACCTTAGTGCTGAATTATCTGAATAAAGAGACATTTTACTCCAGTTCAAGACTTTGGTTAGCTTATTAACCCTTTTAGCACCTCCATGTTTACTCACAAGAAAGGAGAAAATCTAAGGTCCCATGGGCATCATTCACATGCTAATCTATCTCCATGGTTTCTACAACCACTCAATATCCTCCCATCAATGCCATGTTTTACTGAGATGAAGATTACAACTACAATTTGAATATTATATCTATGAGAAGAAAACTTCTACGTTTCAAAATAATTGTAGATAAGCCTGGGATTATCTTTATTTGCTTCAGTTACAAATAGACATTTTACAGCCGGGCACACTGGCTCACTCCTGTAATCCCAGCACTTTGGGAGGCTGAGACAGGAGGATCACTTGAGGTCAGGAGTTCGAGACCAGCCTGGCCAACATGGTGAAACCCTGTCTCTACTAAAAATACAAAAATTAGCCGGGCGTGGTGGCAGGCACCTGTAATCCCAGCTAATTGGGAAGCTGAGGCAGGAGACTTGCTTGAACCTGGGAGGCAGAGGTTACAGTGAGCCAAGATCGTGCCACTGCACTCCAGCCTGGTTGATGGAGACTCAATCCCAAGATGAACAAACAAACAAAAACAAATATACATTTTCCATACATAAGTGAATATATAAAATATTGATAATCCTGCCAAAATGACTGATATTGCTGAGTTATAATGGTATTACACTTTAAAATATGGCTGATCTTATCTATTTTACATAAGAAAAAATGAAAAAAAATCCTTCCTGGTTTATGGTTGATTATTAGTTGAGTTTTTATCATTTAAAAATTTACTAGAAATGAAATAGCTAACATATTAAGCACATACTATATACTTACAGGTACTACAGATTTATGCAGGTATTATGGAGGCATGCATACAAGTACTATGGTAAGCAGTGTAGGGAAGTTTAAACTTTCCTTCTGAAGTTTCAGTAATTGAGTCTGCTGAAATAAACTGACAATAGACAGATTAACGGTAAAAACAAACAAACAAACAAAATAAACAAACAAAAAACCTTTTAATAACATGCATGTGCAGAGGAGCCTCACAGAATATGTCACTCAAAGGAGGGGCCAGATTGTTGATTATATAGCATAAAGGACTAGAAGCTTGAGAATTTGTGGGGAGGTGGTGATACGTTACAGGAGGAAAACAGGACAAACTACATGATAAGCAAAGGTTGTTGTATTATGCAGATAAATTTCCTCAGCTAATAAAATTGTGTTGGGATAGCCTCCTGAAGAATAGGCAAAGGTTTATCTGAAAATAATGATGACTTTTAATGTCTCCTCTGGTGATTAATCTTCACTGTTTTTGGATGAGCTTCCTAGTAATGGAGCTCAAGGCAATTGCATTCCTTTTGGAAGAACTTTCCTCAGTCAGAAAAGAGAACGCCAGTGAGAGTCCTTCCCTGAGTTTGGAAGAAGAAAAATAAAAGAGGTTTAGAGAAATCTTGATTCTGAAGGAGCTTCTGAGGCCTTTCAATTGCCTTTAATTGAAAATACTCAGCGTGCCAATGCACCATACTTTGGGGTATCATTTTCTGAGCTTCAACAGCAATGTACAAGGATTATATCATATAATTCTTACAACAATCTCGGAAGTAGCTTTGATTTACTCCTGTTTCACAGATGAAGAAATAGAAACTCTAGCAAAGTATGTTGCCTAGGTCTCAGAGATTATAAATGGCATTAATGAAATTCAATTCTGTATATTCTGATATTTCAACATGTCACTATAAATTTATTTTTAATTTGTTTTTATTCTATTGTTTTTTATTTTTAAAATATGGTTAATATAAAATTATAATATTAAACTAGTATTAAATAAATAGACATAATTACATATATTTTAACTTAAAGAGATTGAATTTGAAAAATAATCTAAAATGATTAGTATCTGGCACACAAAATTTTACTTTTATGCTTATATAAAGAAGTACCTACATATAATTCTTAACTTTTTCATGTATTTTTCTAAAAAAACAACTGGTTTCATGAAAATAATGGCATTGCTAGATTTAAAGTAAATGAAATACAATGTTCACGGTCCTCCAATTAGTGAAATATGGTATTACGACTGAAAAAGAGCTAAATAATTCAATAACTATCTCAAAGTTGTAAACACATAATAATCCAAGAGGCTTCTTGCAGTAACACAAGCTGAAGATATTACTCATAATATTTTCACATTATAGAAAGTTTATGTACTTTTTATAAACTAATGTGACAAGTCATTTTATTACTTGAAATATAATATATTTTAAGGCCAACGAAAGCTATAGTTGTCTGCATATATTGGAGATTTATCAGGATAATTTAAGAAAGGCATATATGTTGGCCTAAGTAACTTAATTTGTTGCTTAATCTATCTCAACAATGGATAATATCCTGTGATTTTTTTAACTTGGTACAAGGAAACCTGACATAAGAAAGTTCTGGTATCCCTAAAGCATGAATTAAAAAACAATTGAGAAGGTGAAATTGTGGCCAAGAAATAATAATAGAATCAATCCAATTATAATTATAATGATGCATATACTATTGCATGGGTTTAGTGTACATAATTCATAAATCTAAGGACCTAATCTTATGGTGTCTTAGCAGGCTGACATTTTTCCTTCATTTTGAAAATCCCTCAGAACATGAAAACTTCACTTAAAGGCTAGACTACAGGAAAAAAAAGTGATACACCCTGAGCTGAAAAGATAATACCACGTCTTTATAAAATCATACCAGTCCTTTGCACACCTGCTAAATTAAATGTTTTATTGTTTGAAAGGACATTTCGTTCAGCTATTGAAAATTGGGGTGACTATGTCTTTGGATATTTAGAAAATACTCTTCAATATTCAACAGTATAATAACCATAACAGTTTATTGCCATCATTTAATTAAGAGTAACAGCTTTTTCAAACTCTAGAATCCAATCCAAACATAAGTGCATGGGATTTGATAACCAGAGAATTGTCTTTGAAAGGAAGGATGACATGATAGCTAATGCATGCACATGGAAACTAATTAGATTTTTTAGCTAATGAATCCCCATTTAAATAAATGTGATGTGATAAATAACGGATCCCCATGGAAATGAATAGAATTGGATGACTAACACACCCCACTGAAATGAATGTGATTCGATAGTTATCGCATCCTCATAAATGTGTTAGATTGAATCCCATTCATTTTAATTGCAATAAATTAAAATAGCTTTTGTTCATGGCCTTTTGGCTAAGATCAAATTCTTTGTCCTCTATTTAGGGACTATATTCCACCAAGGCAGACAGCCTAGACTTACTGATCTAATAGGTCCCTTCCTTCTGTAACGACATGATCTATAAACTACACATGCCATTCATTCTAGTAGAAATGAATCATTACTAAAACATTTCAATGGAATGTTTGCTGTAGATCAGATTTCATTAATTTCAATAAGCAATTATTAGCTGTTATAAATAGAACCATCCAAATATTGTATTTAAATACTATTAGTATCAATTAAAAAGTCAACAGTGTATTTCATATCCAAAATCAAATTTGTATTGTCTTTTGCTATGTGTTGCTTATAAGCAAATAATTATTTTCTTAATAAAAATGAAATAGTAAGGGAAATATTTTGTTAATAAATGTATAATTTGCATATGGACTTGTGAAAACAAAATATGAAAAGTAGAACTTTGAAAAGGAGGTACATAATTGTCAAAAATAATAACTCATTCTGAATGAATGTCTTTTGGAGCATTTATTACATTTACTTAGTTATATTTATTCATCTTTCCATTCAATTGTGTGTTTGTTTGGGAGCCAAAGACTGATTTATCTGTATCTTCCAAAATAATACAGCATAAAGATATAGAAAAGCCTTGATTAAAATCTATTTTTGCCACTACTTTCAAGTATTTCAATTTTATGAGAAGACAAAAGAGACAGAAAACCAGCGTAGCTAACTTAAGTGGGTAAAATACATTATTAATATTTAAATTATGGGATTAAAATTTAATAATTAAAATTAGTTTAGCTAACCCAAATACACAGACATACAGAGAAATTATGAGAAGCTTCAACAAAATTGTCTTGGCAGAATCCTGAATTAAGAGGTATAGTTTCCAAATGGATTCCTTGGATAAACAGCATCCTGAAACCTTGGAAAATCCAACCCTTCTTTGAATCTCGCATTTCTTCCTTTTTCTCAGTAATCTGCTGATAGAATTTCAAATTATTTCACATAGTTTCAAATGTGACTTCAATAATACTTCTGGTATTATTAACACACACACATAAATATTAATTAATAAAAAGGATGTTATGCATAAGAAATATTTAATACAGCACAATTTTATTGTTATATGCATATTTTACTGTACCTTAATCAGGAAAATGAGCAAGAAAGCAATAGCTCTTATCAGAAACAAAATTTCAAATGTGTTAAAGTAAGTTCGAGATTATAAATATTGTTAATATACTCACTGTCCTTAGTTTGTCACTACTTTTAAAGATAAATCTCAAAAGAGTAGTTTTTCATTTGATTTTAGAGTAGGTAACTTTAATTATATTTTCCAATGCATTACGATTTACCCAAAAAAGAGCAGATTTTTTCATATTCTTGTGATTAAAAACATATTTGACAACTACTAATTTCCAGTAAATACTATCTAAAGTCTCAAACATGACATTCAAGGATCTTCAATTTTTCATTAGCCACAGAAAAAAACACACCACATATTTAGAGAAAAGAAAGAGAAAAGAAAATTGACATGGAAATTCCTTTACAGGTACAGGAAAGAAATATACTGGACAGTATTATTAATAACATAATTTTCTCTCTACAGTGGGAAGAAACTTTGCAAACTAAAAAAATTCAAAAATAATATGAGTGTTGTCATATGTTACATTTAGATAAGTCAGGGCTGTTCTTAACTGGAACCTCTTAGAAGGAAGACTATGTGTCTAATTTTGTATACAACAGATTGTATAACTTTGATGCTTTGATGATAATGATAATGAAACATGGCTTAAAAAGAAAACAGATGGAAAGCTTTAAAGATTTTTTTTAAATGTTGATATAATAATCGGAATTATTTTGAAAGAAAACCAGAAACAAATACATTCTGTTAGAAATATGATTCTATATTGGAACAGAAATTCCTTGTTAATTTTGCAATTTTTTTTGGTGGGGGGGGGGGACGGAGTCTTGCTCTGTCGCCCACGCTGGAGTGCAGTGGCGCGATCTCGGCTCACTGCAAGCTCCGCCTCCCAGGTTCACGCCATTCTCCTGCCTCAGCCTCCCGAGTAGCTGGGACTACAGGCGCCCACCACCACGCCCGGTTAATTTTTTTTGTATTTTTAGTATTGACGGGGTTTCACCGTGGTAGCCAGTATGGTCTCAATCCCCTGACCTCGTGATCCTCCCGTCTCGGCCTCCCAAAGTGCTGGGATTACAGGCGTAAGCCACGGCACCCAGCCCGTAATTTTGCAATTTTTATGCCATCTGGTTAATTCCTTATCATACTAAATTTGTAGGTAGCTATACAGCTGTGGGATGAAATTCTTTATATTGAGAGATTTATTTTTTATCTCTGTTCCATGATGGCTGACACAGAACCATGTTCTCTATGGCTTGTGATTTTACTCTAATGAGTTATGTGAAAAGTATTTAGACCAAATACACACACACACACACACACACACACACACACGTGGGTATGTGTATGTCTGTATATACATACACACATATGTGTGTGTATATGTATATAATTGTTATATATATATATACTTATATGTGTATGGGTATACATACGTACACAGACACACACACACAAACACACTCACACACGCGGTGCCATACTTTTTGGAAATCATGGACACTGAAAAACGTGCCAGTAAATGAAAACACACCAGTTGGCGCTTTGGTTTTGATAACATCATTTAGCTTAAAGTGGAAAATTGTTATTTCACACTAGAGGGGATTTCTGATTTTAATTTGGCCTTCCCAAAAAGGTGAGAAGCTTCATTAAAGATATTCCTCTGTTCATTAATTAATTGATAAGCAGTTGTAATAAAGTGCTTAGAGGAGTGGCTGTCATTAGGAATTTCTCTAGAGGCAACATTTCAGGAAGAACAAACTATCAACTAAGGAATATTCTTAACCAGAGTTTAATATGCACAGAGAGTAAGGCCAGAGGTAGTTTATATTTCTCTGAAGCTATGGGAAATACATTTTTAAAACTCAGAATAATTTGCTATTTAAAACATGATTCCCCTGAATTTTATAAATGGTTTAACAGCTCACAAAAGATATTGACAACTGTTCTAACAGGCGTATTTGTATTAAATATTTCCTAAATTTTTATTTATAATTTGTAAACCATGAGTTAAGTAGATTTTTAAAATAGTAATTGGAAATATTATGTCCTCCACTTCATTTTTTGTTTTGGTTTTGCTTTTGATTCTTTCAGCAGTATATTGTAATTGCTTTCCATTGTACAATATGTTTATGACCCATTCCTCCACTCTTTTCCCACCCTTATTGCCCACAGAGTTGTGTTTGTTATGGATCTAGTTGTGAGACAGCGTTTTCTCAGGATGTCTTTGCATTTTTTAGGATCGGTTGTCCTTGTGCCTGGAACATTTTAATGAGAACACTATGGTATGAGCTGTAGTCAGCTATCACACACACACACAAGTATGTTATATGACTCAATTCTAGAATGGCAGAGTGAAGAGCATGGCAGACTCTTCCCAACAAACATATATATGTGTATGTACATATATATGTAAAACAAGCACCTGCAGCCTCTCAAAAGTTGCTTAGAGATATACAGCAATTGGGAGAATATTCATTCAAGGAAATCTACTCTGGTCCATATAAACCGGTTCAGTTTATGGAAACTATTCCTGACCCTCTACTTCAGATGGGTGTACTCAAGAAAGAAGGGAAGGCTTCTTCTTTCTTTAACTTCAGAATGGAGTTACAATTTTATCTCAGGGAGAGCACAGTGCTGGCGTTTTCCATTTCCCCTGGCCCTGCATGACAGAAGCTCTATTCTGGGAAGACATAGCTGAGATGACTAGGGTTATCTTCCTCTAGCCATTCCTCACTTGTTGGGCATAAGTTCTACTCCAGATGCAGTAGGTCAGAAACAAAGGGCTATAGGAACACTCACACCACAGCTAGTATGTGTAGTGGAGGTCCCAAGCCAGGAGGAGCAAGCCAAAAAAACGAGGAACTACTCCACCAGGGCCAATTAATAGAGCTTGGCCCCTTCTTCCCGAAGGAGAAGAAGTCCCCTTCTTCCAAAAGCATTGTTCAAAACCATAAAGATAAAGAGTGCAGTCGATACTGTAGCTACAGATGAAGAGGCAGAGCAATATGAAATTTAACAGGGAGAAACAGGAAAAGACACAAATAAGAAGAGCAGTCTTGAGATCACAGTCACCCTCTGTGATCAGGAACGTTGTGCATAAATACTAAGCAGTGTTCACTCAGGAGGAATTGGAACAGGTCATGGGGAATACTTGAAAACTTTCCCCATAATTCATGTAGGTCAATAAATAGAGAGTGGAATCCTCACTGGAACTAGGGGATTAAGCACAATCTCTGACCCAACTGGCTGAAAGCAAGCTACTCTGACCCAGGAGTAATTTCTAGGAAGCCAGACTTAAAAATAAAATCACATTAATTCTTGGATGTCTGAGAGTATATATGCATACTCAAAGCTGCGTCCTCCTGGGAATAATTAGAGAGAGAAAATCTAAACGCTAGTTCCTGGCTAAACAAAGAAAAAACATAAACTTGAACTGTCATGGCAGTATGTAAGCCACAAACATGAGCATGTGTGTGCACATACACATACAAACACACATACATCTAATGGTAAGGGAGAGCAATCGGACTAGCCAACAAAGCTGAAGCACAACTATTAGCAATTCTGTTGACCCAGACGCGATGCCTATGTAGCCATCGGAAAAGATGTAAAATAGTTAGTTTGGCCAAGTCATTAAATAACTAAATTTCTAGGTAAACATTAGCATCTTGGTTAGGGCATCAGTATCCTGAAATGCTGCAATAAATTGTCCAAAATGTCTAGTTTTGAACAAAAGTTATGAGACATTCAAAATAACAAGAACAACAATTAAAAAATAAGAAACTTTGACGAAAAGAAAAAATAAAGTCAATAGAAATGTTTTGAAGTGACCTAGATATTGGAGTTGGCAGATAAAGATTTTAAAGCTGTTATTATATTATTGTAATTTTATAAATATGTTCACATATCTAAAGAACACCATGCCCAAATAATTAAGGAAGGTATAGTAACAATGTTTCATCAAAGGGAGAATATCATTAAAATATGGAAATTATGTTTTAAAACCTAATGAAAATTCTGGAGATAAAAAGTACAATCACCACAGTAAAAATTTCCCTAGAAGGGCTCAACATTGTATTTCAGGTGGGAGAAGAAGAAATCAGCAAGACTTTAAGGTACATCAATTGATATTATGCAGACTGAAAAACAGAGATAAAAACAATGAAAAATAAAAGATCCTTGGAGAAGTATGAAACACCATTAAGCATGCCTACATATATTTAACAAGAGTAAGTAAAACAGAAGAAAAAGGAAAAGGTCAAAAATATTTGAAGAAATATTTGCAAAAAAATTGTCAAATGGATGAAAAAAAAACAAACTTTTATGCAACCAAGAAACTAAACAAATTCCAAATAGAATAAATACAGAGAGATCACATCTAAACCTATCCAACTCAAAGTGTGAAAAAGCAAGGTAAAACAAAAAATGTTGAAGCAGTCAGAGAGAAACTGTAGCTAAGACCTACAAGTGAACCCCAATAAGATTAACAGCTGACTTCTCATCAGAAACAATGGAGACCTGAAATCATAAGGACAATATATTCAATGAGATAAAAGTTAAAAAAAAAACACCTGTCTGTTACGCATTCTGTATCCAGCAACTATAACTTTCCAACATGAAGACAAAATAAAAATGTTTCCAAACCAAAAAAGATGTATATAATGTGTTGCCGGCAGACCTGCTCTGCAAGAAATACTTAAAGGAAATTCTTTAAGCTAAAAGCAAATAACACCAGATGATCATTCAAGTACACAAAAAAATAACAAATACCAATAAAGAAAATTATATAATTACAAAAGAAAGTATAATTACATATGTCTTATCCTTTTTATTCTTGTTTAAGAGGCAATTGCATAAGCAATATATATATTTATCTTATTGGGATATGATACATGTAAATGTAACATATTTACCAATAAAAGCACAAAAAAGTTGGCTTGAGCAAAGCTGTACTGATGTAAGGAAATTACAGCAAAATGTAACTTAAATATATCAGAGGAAATGGAGAGAACCAGAAATTGTAATTAAGAAGGTTGATACAACAAACTCTCTAAATATACAGTTGCCCTTTATTTTTTTAGCTTTTTAAAAATACAAATATTATATAAAGTAATAATTATAAAAATAGATCATAGGGTTTTTAATATGTATACACATAATATGTGTAATAATAACAGCATAAGTTTGGAGAGAATGATTCTATAAAGGAGTAAAGTTTCTATATTTCACTTGAATTATGTTAGTAGAAATCTGTAAGTTTTTGATAAGTTGAGATTATATTGTAAGCTCTAGGAATAATTTAAATAATTAATAAAATAATTTAAAATTGTAACTAAAAAGCATGAAGATAATTAAAATGTTGCTCCAGAAAATACACATTTAATACAAATAAGTCACTAAAGGAAGAACAAAGGTAGAAAAATAGATGAAGATATATATTAGGCAAAAAAGAAATGGAAGATATGAATCAAATCATATTAATAATAACATTAAATGTGAATTGATAAAATAATCCATTCAAAGGCAGATATTTTTACATTAGATTTAAAAATAAAACATGTTCCCACTATACTCTAGCGGAGAAAACATACTTTATTTATTTTTCCTTATTTATTTATTTATTTATTTATTTTTAAAGATGGCATTTTGCTGTGTTGCCCTTGATGGTCTTCAACTCCTGGGCTCAAGTTATACTACCACCATGCCCCCACCAAGTGCTGGAATTACAGGCATGAGCCACCACAGCTAGCCAGAAGATGCACTTTAGATTAAAAAAAAAATAATAAGTTGAAAAGAAAAAGCTAGAAGTGTGAAAACAACCACCACGATAGTAAAGCCGGACTGGCTATACTAAAATTAGATGAGGTTAAAACAAACAAGTGTTATTAAAGTTAAAGAGGGGCATTTCATGGTGACAAAAAGTCAATGTATTAAAGAGATGTAATAATTATAAATCTACAGGCAACTGACAATATAGCCCTAAAATACAAGAAACAAAAGCTGACAAAACTGAGAGAGGGAATTTAAAATTAGTATTTGGAGATTTTAATAATCTACTTAAACAACTAATGTAATAGCTTTTCAGAAGCTCAAAAATAAAACACAATATTTGCACAGCACTATCAACCATCTACACCTGATAAAAATCCATAGAACACTCCACCAAAAATCAGAAAAATACATTCTTCTCAAAACCTTTTGGAATATTTTCAGAATAGACCATATGCTAGTACAATAGGTTAAAGAGATGGAAAAAGTACAACATATGTCCTTGGACCACAGTGGAATTAAATTAAAAATAAGAACAAAAAGAAATTTAAGAATTTCACAAATGCGCAAAAATTAAGCAACATAAATAACCAATAGGTTAAAAAAATCACAATGAAAGATAGAAAATACTTTGTGATTAATGAAAATTAAAATACAACAAAGTAAAACTTATCAGATACAGCTAAAACAGAGCTCATTTATAGCTATAAATTCTATAAAGAAGAGTTAAAATTTGAAAGCAAATTTAACCTTCCACCTTGAGAAACTAGGAAAACAAAGGCAAACTAAGTATATACAGAAAACAGAAGAAACAATAATGATTACAGCATAAATAAATTAAATGATAAACGTATAAACCATAAAGAAAATCTAAGATTGCCCAAAATCTGGTATTTAAAAAGTACAACAAATTAACAGGTCTTCATCTACATTAACCATACAATTTAAAAAGAGAAGATGTAAATTACCAAAATCAGAAAAGAAAGAGAGCAATGCTACCAAACTTACGGAAGTATAAACAACAATTAGGAAATACTGTGAAACTCTATGCCAGGACACCACATAACTTAGAAGAAACGAACGAAGTCCTAGAAAGACACAAACTACCAAAAGTAACTTAAGAAATAGAAAATATAAACTGGCTTATAACAAATAAAGAGATTAAATCTATAATTTTAAAATATCCCCCTCCCCCCTGCCACCCCGACACACACACACACACAAACTCAGGCCATGATGGCTTCACTGGTGAATTATACCACATATTAAAAGAATCATGACTAATATTGAAAAATAACTGTCTATACCCTAGCAATGAAGAATTCAAAATATAAATTTAAAAATGTATTCAACTTATAATACCATTTAAAAAATGAAATACTTAAGAGTAAATTTAAATGCAAAACTTGGTTACTGAAAACTACAAAAGATTGTTGACAGAAATTAAAAGAAGATTTAAATAAATGGAAAGACAGGCTGGACACAATGGTTCATGCTGGTAATGCCAACACTTTGGGAGGCCAAAGTGGGAGGATCACTTGGGTCCAGGAGTTTGAGACCAGCCTGGGCAACATAGGAAGACCCTGTCTCTACAAAAACAAACAAACAAACAAACAAACAAATATATATATATATATATACACACATACACACACATATATATACATGTGCTTATATATACATATATATTTATTTATAATTTATATAATATAAATTATACAATTTTTATATAATTATATAATTAGCTGGATGTTCTGCCACACACCTGTAGTCCCACCCAGCTATTCAACTCCAGAGGCTAAAATGGGAAAGTCACTTGAGCCCAGGAGTTTGGGGCTGCAGTGAGCCATGATTGTGTAACTGCACTCCAGCCTGGGTGACAGAGCAAGACCCTGTATCAACAAAAACGAAAACAAATAAATTAAATTAAATAAGTGGAAAGACAGCCTATGGTACATGCTATGGTACACAGACTTACTTATTTGCACTTTACTTGGTTTCAATGATGCAATTTAATGGGTTCAGAATAAGCTTTTCTATTACTATATCTTTTCATTAAGATCTCAAAATCATGCTACTACCGTTTATATGGCTAGATAGATTCGGGGAGGGCACTTTTTTAGCTGTCCTACAACCTAATGTAGGATGCAAGATGTGAGAAACTCGCAAGCCAGACTCGTACATTTAGTCCAAGGTTTTTCAACATTGGCATTACTGACATTTTAGACAATTAATTTTTATGAGGGAACTATTTTGTACATTGTAGAAAGTTTGGCAGCCCCCCTGGATACTAGTCAAGCTCCCTATTCCCCACTCCCGACTTTCTCAGTGCTCACACTTACAGCCCTGTCATGACGATGAAAAATGTCTTTAGACACTGCCAAATGTCTCCTGGAGGAGGCGGGGTAAATCACTCCCATGTGAGAATAACTGATTTAGGCAATGACGTAAGAAGCCTCTGAATTCATTTTGCTTTTACTATAATCTGGGCAGCCCCTTCCTATATTTCTAGCCTACACATTTTCTATGGGTCTGCCAGTGCAAAGCAAAACACTACCTTGCCATTTACCTTGTATTTGACTTTTCTGCAGTGATCTCCATCTCCTCTCAGTTCTTAAGGAAACCATTAGCCCCCACATCCCAAAAAAGTCATTAATTGATGAATCATTTTATATTATTTTCTATTAACTTATATTTGTTGTCTTTTTTTCCTACTAAGACTATATGTACTTGCTACTAGGAAATATGTCATATATTTTATTTTCTATGTGTGATTAACGAAGTTGAAATGCTCACTTAATAAATGGTTGGATGTTCCAAACATTATACACACACACACACACACACTCACACATGCATGACATTTCTGAACAGGGATTGCTTCTCCCTTTGTGAGTCTATGAGTTTGTATGTATGAGAGCAAGATGTATATTACTGGGCATTTTAACTAATATTAAGTCTGATTTGTCAAGTGGTTTAACTATTTCTTTTTCATAAGTGAAGCATCATTGAAAAAGATATATTAACTCTTTTAAGAGGCACATACATATAAATGCTACATATGTGTATAAAACTAAGCCAAGATCTTGGTAAACAAACTATAAAAAGTCACCTGTCAATATTCTGTGATTATACAGCTTCTGGTGTGCAGTATGGCACAAATACACATTTGGTGACTGAAACATAAGAAGCAACATTGTACCTACATAGGTTGTCTTTAAAATTGTATCATTTTCTGGCAATAGATATTTTCACTTTACTCTAAACGTGCAACCTGCTAACAAATTCTCTCCTGACCTCAGCGTTTCTAAACAGAAATAGCTTTTTGACTTACGATAGCAGAAATAATGCAGGTGTAGAAGGGGTTGTATAAAGAAGTATACTCAGTAAAATTAAGGCGGATCTAGGCCCTTTTGTATATATTCTACTACATGAAATGAAGTTAGTAATTCTGAGATTATGGCACTCATTGGACTTTTTAAAGTTATGAAACACTTCAAAGGTTAAACCATGTTATTAAATGGTTTTAGGAGTTCATAAATTAGTCACTATAGATTTTTTAACAAAGGCACTTTAAGATAAAGCAGAATGATTTGGAACTGTATTGATTGATTCCATTAAAAGTGCCAATATATATCCTCATTTCACTTTTCCTTTAGAAATACAATCAAGAAAATGTTGGTACTACTGGTTATAATTTTTAATACTAAATTAGAGTATTTAAGTGTATTCTAATTGATTTTTTTCTACCAAGCAAAAAAGTCACTAAAAATACATTTGAAAAGAAATGTTTCTGCCCTAATGTATCTCAGATGGTAGAATGATTTGGAGAAAAATAGCTCTTGGTGAAACATATAAAAACATCAGTGGGTGGAGAAGTGAGAAATGTTTCATGAATGATTCTTGAGTTGTCAAATATTAAAATAAAATGCATCTTCTATTTTGATTTCTGAATTTAAAAGAGGTTCCAAGTAAAGCTCTAGTTAATCTATTGTGTCATCTAATTGTGAAAATTACCTAAAATAATATATTTCACGATGGAGAAAATCTCCAGATTTCAAGGTTTCTGAGCCAACTGTGAGGTTGACTCCAACCTAGACGGAGAAGTGAACATGGGACCTGATGAAAAGAGAGAGGAAGTTTAGTTGTTGTTTCTTTATTTTATTTATTTTATGAGTCAAATTGTATTTGAGTAAGAAGTACAGCATGTCAAAATCTGAAGGAACAGAAGAGAAGAAAAATGAAAAAATAAACATTGTGTCAAAGCAGGATGAAATAATAAAGCAATCTTGGCTCTGCATTGCTCTTTTTAACATGTAACTGTGAATGGTAAGTATACGTATTAGAGTGACTCTTTGATCTAATATTCATTCAGTATGTGTGTATTGTGAAGAAGTCGGTTAGACATTAGTGACATTTGCATAGCTAACAGTCAGTGACCAGCCAGTACAGGGACATGTGAAAACTTGGACAATGCCCACTTGGTGTCCTTATATTCAGGGAAATAAACAGCAATCTTAAAGCCCACATAATGCCAACCTGTACAGACACACTTGGCTACCTGCCCTATCAATAATCTCCTTTGAGAATCTAGGGCCATTTACTTTGCATATGTAAGCTAAATGTGCCTGCTGGAACTCTGTTAACATTATGTTCTTAGGCAGAAGGAACTTTGTTGAGTCTGAGGTCACTCAAACCCTGGCTTACTAGCCAGTAAGTCTTGTTTTATATTCTGCCTCAACGAGAACAACCAAGTTCTTGTTTTTTTTTCTTAACTATTGATTATTTATTTATTTTGTTTTATTTTTTAAATTTTTTTATTATTATACTTTAAGTTCTAGGGTACATGTGCATAACATGCAGCTTGGTTACATATATATACATGTGCCATGTTGGTGTGCTGCACCCATTAACTCGTCATTTAGCATTAGGTATATCTCCTAATGCTATCCCTCCTCCCTCCCCCCACCCCCAACAGTCCCTGGTGTGTGATGTTCCCCTTCCTGTGTCCAAGTGTTCTCATTGTTGATTTACTTTCCTATGACAAATCTCCATTATTACCCTTTCTACTTACAATATACAGTGCTGTGTATCTGTATAAACTACCAAGTTCAACTGTATAGTATCTTCCCCAACTGATGATGCCTGGATAGTCTTTTTCAGTTTAAACAGCATTATGTCTCAACATAGGAGCTACCTTTACAGAAAAAAACTATATGAAGAAGGTACAGAAAAAATTAGAACATATGCCAGACTGATTTGTATAGGTATAAAAAGGAGAAAATATGAGAAGCTTAGCAGAAGTGGCTAGAGTAGGTGACACTGCATGATAAGTGTATGGCATGACCTCACCTTTTCTTGATGTATATTGGCAAAGAATTGGATACTCATTTCCTTTAAATAAAATGATAAACCCTGAGATAAACACATTTCTTTGGATATTTTGTACAGCTTTCCTCTTACTGAATCTCACTACCTATAAAGTCATTTCAGAAGTGCTGTATGTGTGACCTCTTTTTGAAAGAAAGTAGACATTGTTTTAATAAAAAAGTACTTTTTTTTCCTTTGACTCTAACTTTTATTTGCATAGTTTAAAGTGCTTTACTGACAAAAAATCACTGCATTTACCCAGCCATAGAAATGGTGATAGCAGGGAATTTAGATTCTGATAAAATGAAATAACAATATAAAGGTTTATTCTGAATTCATTAATTTGTATCACTAAAGTACAGTGAACTACCAATAAAACACATGTGCTACAATATACACAGTAAGGGCAGGTATGAAACATATTCTAAGAGATTATGTGACTATTCATCATGGGAAATGTGTCTACCTACAGATCATCTGTGCACAAACTTATACGCATGTACATGCACATTATTTGAACAAATAAATCTCTGCTTTTTTGTCTTTCCCCCTGGAGCTCTGGCTATCTTTCCATTTTGCTGTTCAGATTAAAATACTATCAAAACGAGACATGATTCTCCATCATTTGTTTTATTATGGTAACATTTACCTTCATTTGAACAGTCACTGGCCACAAATCTTCATATGTTATGTTATAGTACTGACTTTCTGATATATAACAATGTATAGAATTCTCAATAGAATGCACATAATTCAGAATTATGTAACTGAATGACCATTAGAACTGAAAAAGGTTTACTGAAAAGAAATCAAAGAAAAAATCAGTATATACCATTTCTAAATTGCTAACATTAAACCTTAGTGTGTTCATGAACAAACTTAATTCCATTTTCTGACAAATAAACCAAAGCAAAATGCAATGATTTTCATCTCTTTAGCAGTATTATAGCACAAAAATGCCATTCTCTGAAATTCATATCCATCAGACTAAAATGACTGAATTTACATCAGCTATTTGATGGAATAAAATAAATTGTTTTAATAGGACATACCCAGTGGATCAATGTTTCCTGCTTTGAAAATGAATATCTTAGTTTTCCCTAGGCATTTGTGGGAACAAGAGATCATTATTCTATGACATTGTTTCATTCCACTGACATTTCTGAACAGAGAATGCTTCTTCGTTTGTGAGTCTATGAGTTTGTATGAAAACAAGATGTGTATCACTGGGGCATTTTAACTAATATTAAGTCTGATTTGTCAAGTGTTTTAACTATTTATTTTTCATAAACGAAGCATCATTGAAAAAGGTATATTAACTCTTTTAAAAGGAAAGGATACTCTTATTGACTAAATGACTGAATTGATTCATTAAATAGTGCCTTAACCGCCTAAAATAGCAAATGCAACTTCAAAAGGTGTCAAACTTGCAACATGGAACATCTCTGGCACTAAAATAATCAATATAACCATTCCATTTTCCATTTTGTGAAGAATTTTATGGCTATTTAGTAGAGTTTTTTCCCTTGTTTTTATTTTTTTTCCTTTCCAGCATATTCTATAGGCTTAAATGATACAGCATGCAGAGAAAAAAATTAACTGCTGTATTTACAGTTCAGATTAAAGTGAAACAGAGCAGACTACGATAATGAATGTTTGAAAAATCTCAGAAATTCACTATTACGTAGAAATTATGGTGGCCTGGGGGAATTAGAATTTTGATGGTTTTTGTTTGGGTTTTAGTTCTTCAGCAATGACTTAGTGCTGAGTTTAAGCAAACAAGCGTTCTATGTAATACTTTAGAAACATTTTTAAGGACTTCAGAGACCATAGCTGTAAGCACTTTAGTAGATAATATACATAGACACAAGAAAATGTAATTATCATACATTTTAAATATACATAATTTATTCATTTAACAAATTGTTTTAGCCAACATGGACATTTACACCAAATGTTAGGAATACAGAATTATTATAAGCCCTTGAAGTCTTCAGTTTAAACCCCACTGTCTCCACATGTATATACAAACAAGTACCTATATTTGCTTATGGCTTCTCTGAAACTTATTTTCAAAATGAAAATAAATGAATAATATATGAATTACCTTATCATCCCATCAACAAAATGATCAATCCGATTTATTACCTATGTCTTCTGTTTCTTTCCCCTATAATGATAGCTCAAGCTTTCTTTCTTACAATGACAAATCTTCCATTTATTTGAAAGGTCTTGTCTCTTCTTGTCAGCACAGAAAGTTTTGACTTCTTTCACTAAATTATGAAAAAATTGAGTTTTACCTTCTTTAAATTACTACTGTTTGAAGCCTCTGTGAAAAGAAGCTGACCTGAATATTTGCTAATACACTGAACCTTCTGATTCACCAGGTCTGGAATTGATCTATCTAATGTTGCACTTTGTGTATCTTTGGTTAAAGAAGCAATTCAATGAGGACCAACCCTCATAAGGCACAACCAGCAGTGTAAGAACCTCTTCTACAAGAAGACTAGAGACTTCTTTTAAAATAGAGGTGCTACAGAGAGAGTCCTTAAAGTCTCTCTGCATAGTAGTTATAAGTAATCTCTAAATTCTTTACTTTCTCTAGTCATAAATCTGAATACAGATAATCAGGTTTTTCCTTTATTATCCAGTTAATGTCTATTAAAATAAGACTCTATCTATAAAATATGCAAACAAATGATTACCAGAAGAAACAACTCATACCTAGAAACCTTGTAAACACTTTGTGGATTGTTTGATTCTTCTTCCCTCCTTATTAGTGAAGAAGATAAAGACCTTAATTTTATCCTTGTGTCCACTCCCAATCAACCAAATTTGACCAAAATATTCTTGGTCTAAAATTTTCTGGGAAGATAATTTAGTCCAATCTACTCATTATATAATATTTATTAAATATACTATATGATAATAAATATATAAATAATAAATATATAATAAGTAGATTAGACTAGATGATCTTCCAATCTACTCATTATATAATACTTATTAACTATATGATAATAAATATATAAATATTATGTAATATATAAATAATTATATAATGAGTAGATTGGACTAGTATATTTATTTATATAATGAGTAGATTGAACTAGATGAAGTACCCAGAAAATTTATTTCCATTCCCAAATCCTATGATTTGTGAGAGTTAATATATTAGCTAGTGAAAATAATAAAATCCCCATACTAGCAAGGGATTTTACTAGAATTAAAGTTTCCATTTAGACATGTGAGCACTTTGGATACAGCAGTATTAAATAGACTGGGTACCTTTTGCCAATAATTTCCAATAGTAAGACTATCTCCAATTAGTGCTTTAAAGTTTAGACCAGTGTTGTTTTTCCAATATGTTTCCATTTTGTAGTTACCAAAGTATGGTAAAAAGACCCAGGTTTAAGTTTTGTAATTATGTTATTTTTCACTATACTAAGAACACTTTACATGAGGTCTATACTCTAAATAAAAACTTCCATGCATAATACAGTATTGTTAACTATAGGCACAATGTTATGCAGCAGATCTCTAGGACTTACTAATTTTGTTTAACCAAATTTATACCCATTAAACAGCAACTGCTCAATTACCCCTTCCCCAGCCCCCGGGAACCACCACCTTCTCTTGGTTTCTACGAGTTTGAGTATTTAAGACACCACATGTAAGTGTAATCATGCATCATTAGTCCTTCTGTGACTAATGTATTTCACTTAGCATAATATACACCAGGTTCGTCTACATTATTGTATATGACAAGATTTCCTTTTTTCAAAGGTAGAATAATATTTTATTGTATGAATATATCACATTTTAAAAATTCACTCATTTGCTGAAGACTGTTAGATTGCTTCATATCTTGGTTATTGTGAATAGTATTGTAATGTGTATGGGAGTGAAAATGTCTCTTTGAGATCCTGATTTCAGTTATTTTGAATATATACCCAGAAGTGGGATTGCTGAATATGCTAGCTGTACTTTCAATTTCTGGGTGTACATATCCTGCCCAAGATTTGGGAAGTTTGGGGCCATTATTTCTTTAAATAAACTTTCTACTCACTTCTTTTCTCTTCTTCTAAAATTCCTATAATGAGATATTTGTTTGCTTAATGATGCTTAATAAGTACCTTAGATTATCTTCACTTGTTTATCATTCTTGTTTTCTTTCTACTCCTCTGATGGGATAATTTCAAATGAACTGTTTTCAAGTTTTCTGGTTCTTTCTTGTGCTTGATCAAGTCTACTGTTGAACGTCTCTAATGAATTTTTTTATTTCAGTTATTATATTCTTCTGCTCCAGAATCTCTAGGGTTTATTTAATGTATAATTCTCTTTGTAGAAGTTCTCATTTTGATTATGTATTATAGTCCAGATTTTTGTTTAATTATCTATCTGTGTTCTCTTATAACTCATTGAGCTTCTTTAAGATAAATATTTTGAATTCTTTGTCGTGTAAATAATAGATCTCTATGTCTTTAGAATCTCAATTTCTTCTGAATCAGTTTATTTTGATTCTTTTCATACAGGATTTTGGTCAATATATCATTTTTAAATAGATGTTCCTATAGGGGTAGAAGATCTGAGACTTCTTATTTTGCCATCTTGTTGATGTTTCTCTGTGTTTTTGATTTGTGAAATGGATAATTTTTACCAAAACTGTGATGCCAGGGTATCATTATTAAAAATAGTTGTGGCAAAAAAGTGATGATGTTATTTTTTATTGCTTTCACAAATTTACAGTAACATGGCAAACAAATGAGTTTGACTATTATTTGTGTAATTTCACCAGTAAGTGTTAATTTTGATCACAATAGACATTGTTAAGCATTATGCTACTTAACACATACTAAAATACCATTAATCTATTACTATGACCTCATTTTGTCTACAATCACTTTAATTAATGACAGTTCAATCTAAAATCATATTTATATATTGGATAGTGTGTGTCTGTTACATATTAAGTTGCACATTTACTAATTCTCCAGAATCTAATAAAAGTAAAATTTATGTTTCATATTATTCTATTGAATGAAAAATGGGCAGGTTTATCAAACAGACCACATCAGTACTTACAAAATTCTATTTATAGAAAGCCTGTTTATGAATATTTTAAAACATGCTTTGTAGGAGAAAATCAATGCTAGTAATTTAAGTATTACATTAATACTCAATACATTAATGCTATTGCTACATTGAAAATTCTGGGAGTAAAAAGTGTCTGGCTGATAATACCAAGAAATCACAATAAATAAGAGTTAGAGTATAATATACAAAGTTAGATCTCCACAAAGATGCATATGCAAAATTTACAATGCATTTTTTTTTCAATTAACTTGTATTTAGTGTTGATATGATTTAGATCTGTGCACCCACCCAAATCTCATGTTGAATTGTAATCCACAATGTTGGAAGTGGGGCCTGGGAGGAATGTGATTGGATCATGGGGGTGGATTTTCCTCTTGGTACTGTGTCACAATATTGAGTGAACTCTTAAGGGATCTGGTTGTTTAAAAGTGTGTGACAGCTCCCCTTTCCTCTCTTGCTCCTCCTGCCATGTAAGATGTTCCTGCTTCTCTTTTGCCTTCTGCCATGATTGTAAGCTTTCTGAGGCCTCCCCAGAAGCCAAAGCCTTTAGGCTTCTTGTACTGCAGAACCTGTAGAACTGTCAGCCAATTAAACGTTTTTTCTTTATAAATTACCCAGTCTTAGGTATTTCTTCATAGCAGTGTAAGAATGAAGTAAAACAGAAAATTGGTACTGAGGAGTGGGGCTTTGCTACAGATACCAGAAAATGTGGAAGCACCTTTGGACCCGGGTAATGGGCAAAGTTTGGAAAAGTGTGGAAAGCTCAGAAGAAGACAGAAAGACGAGGGAAAATTTGGAACTTCCTAGAGGCTTGTTAAATTGTTGTGAACAAAATGCAGATAGTGATATGGATAATAAAGTCCAAGCTAAGGATGTCTCAGATGTACATGAGGAACTTATTTGGAGCTGGAGTAAAGGTCACATTTGCTATTTTTATTTTTTATTTTTTTTGACGGAGACTTGCTCTGTCACCAGGCTGGAGTGCAGTGGCACGATCTTGGCTCACTGCAACTTCCACCTCCCAGGTTCAAGCAATTCCCCTGCCTCAGCCTCCTGAGTAGCTGGGACTACAGGCACGTGCCACCACACCTGGCTAATTTTTTGTATTTTAGTAGAGATGGGATTTCACCATGTCGGCCAGGATGGTCTCGATCTCCTGACCTCGTGATCTACCCAACTCTGCCTCCCGAAGTGCTGGGATTACAGGCATGAGCCACCGTGCCCAGCCCCACATTTGCTATGTTTTAGAAGAAAGTCCTTGCTCTAGATATCTGTGGAACTTTGAACTTGAGAGTGATGACTTAGGGTACATGGTGGAAGAAATTTCTAAGCAGCATAACATTCAAGAATTGACCTGGCTGCTTCTTATAACCTATGCTCATATGAATGAGCAAAGAAATGACCTAAAATTGGAACTTACATTTGAAAGAGAAGCTTGGCCATGTGGTATAAAAGGAAAGCCATTTTCAGGAGAGGAAATCAAGCTGACTGAAGAAATTTGCATAACTAAAAGAAAGGCAAGTGCTAATATCCAAGACAATGAGGAGAAGGCCTCAAAGACATTTCAGTTACCTTCATGGCAGCCCTCCCCATCACAGGCCTGAAGGCCTAGGAGGACAGAATGGTTTTGTGGGCCAGGAGCAGAGCCCTGCTGCTCAGTGCAGCCTTAGGACACTGCTTCCCATGTCCTGGCTGGTTGGTCTCCAGCATCAGCTCAAAGCCTCAAGCCACTACTCCAGAGGGTGCAAGTCATAAGCCTTGACATCTTCCATGTGGTGTTAAGCCTGTGAGTGAGCAGAATATAAGAGTTGAGGCTTTGGAGCCTCCACCTATGTTTCCCAGGATGTATGGAAAAGCCTGGATGTCCAGGAAGAAGCCTGCTGTAGGGACAGAGCCTTCATGAAGAACTTCTACTGGGGCAGTGCAGAGGGGAATTGTGGGGTTGGAGCCCCTACACAGTGTCCCCACTTGGGCAATGTCTAGTGGAGATGTGAGAAGAGAGCCACCCTTATTCAGACTGAAGAATCATAAATGCACCAGCGGTTTGCACCCTGCACCTGGAAAAGCCACAGGCATTCCACACCAGCCCTTGAGAGCAGCTTCAGGAACTGAGCTCTGCAAATCCACAGGGATGGAGATGCCTAAAGCCTTGGGAGACTATCCATAGCCTCAGTGTGTCCTGGATGTGGGACATGGCATTGAAGGAGATTATTTTGGTAATTTAAGAATTTAATGACTGCCACACTTTTGTGCATACTTGCGTGGGACTGGTAGCTCTTCTGCTTTGTCTGATTTCTCCCTTTTGGAATGAGAGCATTTACCCACTGCCCATATGCCCATTGTACCTTGGGAGTAACCAACATGTTTTGATTTTACAGGCTCATAAGTGGAAGGGACTAGCCTTGTCTCAGAGGAGACTTAGAACTTTGGGCTTTTCAGTAATGCTAGAAGGAATTTAGACTTTGGGGGAATGTTGGGATAGAATGATCATATTTTGCAATGTGAAAAAAACATAAGATTTGGAAGGGTCAGGAGTAGAATGATATGGTTTGTATCTCTGTCCCTGCCCATGTTGAATTGTAATCTCCAATGTTGGAGGTGGGAGATGATTGGATCTTGGGGGTGGATTTTCCCCTTGGTACTCTGACAATGGTGAGTGAGTTATCATGACATCTCATTGTTTAAACCTGTGTGGCACCTCCCCTGGCTCCCTTGCTTCTTTTCCTGCCATGTAAGACCTGCCTGCTTCCCCTTTGCCCTCCACCATGACTATAAGTTTCCTGAGGCCTCCCCAGAAGCATAAGGTGCTATGCTTTCTGTACAACCTGCAAAACTGTGATCCAATTAAACCTCTTTTCTTTATAAATGTTCCAGTCTCAGGTATTTGTTTTATGGCAGTGCAGAAATGGACTAATACCTTATATTAGGTACAGCATGATATAATACCTTATCTTAGGGATAGCATGATACAGTGCCATTTTTCTGCCATCATAAACCATACATTTTACCAGAAAATGTTTTTATTGTTGCATGTCTATTTACTGATTACTATCTTATGAGGTCCATGTTGTCTTACATTCTAATACATGATGTCTGTATTACTGTGATTGTTACAAAATGACTAATTGAGTTATTACCAATAGTTTATCAAAACTATGTCTACATTCTTGAGGGTATACACTACTAAATTTGCTTGCCTTTTCTTTGTTTAATATATTTGTTTTTCTAAGGTCACTATAACAAAGAACCATAGACTGGACAGTTTAAACAATATAAATTTGTTTTTCACAGTTCTGGAGGCTAGAAGTCTGAAACCAATGTGTCTACAGAGTTGGATTCTTCTGAGTCCTCTTTTCTTGGCCTAGGAATAGCTGTCTTCTCCCTCTGTTTTCGTATTTTTTTGGTCTCTTTTGATTAAAACCCACTGTAATGATCTCATCCTCACAAAATTACCTCCTTAAAGACCCTATCTTCAAACAGGTTGTATTCTGAAAACCTGGGTGCTAGAACTCCAACATATGATTTTAAGGAACACAGTTATTTCTTAACATTTTATACATCCATTTAACTGTGTACTATGAAGAGCACAGATGCTAGAGCTGCAGTGCCTGGTTTTAAACCCAACCCCATTGCTTATTAGTTGTCAGAGATTAGGGAAATTGCATACATTTTGTGAATCATTTTTAAACCAGAAATACTGGAAGGACTTATATTATAGAATTTCAAGTATTAATTGGATAATTGTAAGTTGTGTGCCACATGGTAAACTATTTAAATGTTAGCTATTATTCTTTAGATTACTATCATAGTTTTTAATTTCATCATAAGCCTTTAGACTATATGAGATTTTAAAATCTTTTCTGTGGGGAATTAATTTAGAAACCATTTTTGAACTCTATTTTAAAATTACAATTCACATTCAAACTAATGAGCCCACAGTTATGTGTCATTGATCTAATGCAACTTTATCCGTGATTTCTTGTCTCCTAATTTTGTTAAACAGTGATCTTTATAATTTATATATGGTATACTTCAAATTTCCAATAAAATAGTTTCAATTTAGTAAATTATTGTTCACCAAATATACATTTTATTTATTCAATTTTATAAATCTATTTTGCAATTTATTTCAAAGTATTTTAATTTGAAATCTATACAGTTTACCATGCATGGCCAGAAACACACAGGTGAAAAACACATAGTTCTTATTTTCAACAAAAGAAAGTAAGGTGCAGAATGTAATAACTATAAGAATATGTGTTAGGTGCATTTTCTGGAGATAAAGGTGAAATAAAATGACATAACAAGCAAAATGCAGCCCTGTTTTGAGAGAAAGCTGGAAGGATATTAGGACCAAATCAAAGGTGGAATTTTTGCTTAGCTATGTAAGAAAAAATAAATCATTGGTGAGATTATAAGATCACAGAAGCTTTTCCATTGATCCTGAAAGACTTCTACTTGCCTGTAATGCCTGTTATGAAATGTTTAAAAAGCAATTAAATTCTGTTTCAAGACCTTCTATTTCTGCCTTTAGGAACCAAAATCAGCATTTATTTAAGGCTCTAGATTGAACACAGAGCAGAACTCTTACTTATTAGTGATTAGAAAATAAACAAAATATTGTAAAACATATTTAAGGTGTTATGAATCATTTGAACACTGAGGTTTGTAGAGAACAAAAGTTCTTTGGGACATGTGATAAGGTGATATGGCTTGTCTGTGTCCCCACCCGAATCTCATCTTGAATTGTAGCTCCCATAATTCCCACTCGTCATGTGAGGGACCCAGTGGGAGATAATTGAATCATGTGGGTAGGTCTTTCTTGTGCTGTTCTCGTGATAGTGAATAAGTCTCACGAGATCTGATGGTTTTATAAAGAGGAGTTCCCCTACACAAGCTCTTTTGCCTGCCGTCATGTAAGATGTGACTTTTTCTTCATTTGCCTTTAGCCATGATTATGAGGTTTCCCCAGCCATGTGGAACTGTGAGTTAATTAAACATCTTTCCTTTCTAAATTACCTACTCTTGGGTATGTCTTTATCAGCAGTATGAGAAAGGACTAATTCACAGGGTATCTGACACATGTCCTTTTTATCCCCAATTCCGCTCTAAATATGGGTTTTTTAACATTACAGAAATAGTTCTTTTCTTTCCACAGAGTCTTAGATATTCTTTTAAAAAGTATATGTGCTCTCACCAAAATGAAGCATGTCTTTGCTTCTGCTATGTATACTTGCAGTGACAAGTAACTTGCAATGTTATTCACTGTTAGCTACTACA
The DNA here is from genome assembly GCF_000001405.40 of Homo sapiens. NCBI lineage: Eukaryota > Metazoa > Chordata > Mammalia > Primates > Hominidae > Homo > Homo sapiens. The sequence continues at coordinate 70,657,647 of NC_000013.11, forward strand.
GTAGTTATTTATTTATTTATTTATTTATTTATTTATTTATTTATTCTTATTTTTGACAGGAATATGTGTGCCCCAAACCTCAGCATTACACAATATACTCGTCTAACAAATCTGCACATATCCCTCTGAATCTAAAATAAAAGTTGAAATTATTTTAAAGAGACAATAATATTTAGGTATATCCTCATTCAAACATATTTTTCAATGTGGAAATCACGTGATGAAATAAGTCCCTCAATTTAAAATGTGTAATAGTTTGCCTAACTGGGGAAGCCTTTTTGCCGTACTTATTCCTGAGCATGTGTGGGAGCTGCGATGTAAGGTACAGCCCCATCTCTGCCCTAGTTTGTAATGTCGTCATCTTTCCCCTGAGTTGTTTAGCAGAAGATTTTTATCTTTTTCTCCTGCGTATGGTCAACATCTTTATGCTCAACGTTGCCTGCAACTAGCAAACTATTAGAAAGCAAGTCAAGCACTAAAAACCTTAAAAGTTGGAGTACTCAAGTGCCTTGTGAATGCTTAGACTTTGAGGATTCAGAACTCTTTCTAAACCTCTGAAGGACGTTTTATCTTTGCTCTGCTCTGCAGATAATTTTCTGAACTTATCTTGTGTCGTACAAAAATGTTCAGATTTTGATACTTGTATTGATACCTGTATTGTTGTATGCCTTACTGTGGTCTCAAGTGACATTATCCACTTTTTGCTTCCAGTAACTTGAATTGGTACTCATTTTTAACTTTCTACAAATAAAATTAGGTTAAAGTAAAACAATATGAAATCTTGAATAATATAAATCACAGAGGATGAAAAGCATTAAGAAGACTGTACAGAATTGGAATGCAATAGTCCTATTTGCTTTATCTCATGATGATACACAGATTTGCAGATTAGGTATATGCATATGTGTGAGACCAAGGTTTCTTGTTTGCTAATTTTAGCTGAGTACTAATTTTCAGAATTACCTTCCTTAACAATACTGATTGCCTCACTAAATTAGTAGTCAATATTTAATCAAGACAGCAATGACATTATTCAATTATTGGGCCTGGGCCATGAGCAATATCTGAAAATGGCTTCAGGTATCACACACAGAACTCGATGTGTCACATAATTCCAGCATAATTCCCTAAGTTTTAGGTAAAACATAGTCGAGAAAACATATATCATTGACTGCCTCTAGTCTTAAAGACATACACACAAGCATAGCACATTCCCAGATTTTGATTTGTAACTCAAAGTGGATATAAACTCCAAAAGAGTTCAATGTGGATACTATTAATTATCATGCTTTAATTAGGCAAGAAATTTTTCATTTTAAAGTTGTCATTGGCAATCACTTTTACTGTCTATCTTTCCAAATACTACAGTATTTAGTGTCATGGTTAGCACTGCCTTGGAAGAAACATGGTTGCCAGTACAAATTCCTCTAAAAATCACATGTGCTCTTTCTTTTCTGAACTTGAATGTAAAACATTTGATTCCACTGACTGGAACATAGGTCTCTAAATTTATTTGCAAAAACCCTTACTTTAGTATAACTTGTTTTGTGCTTACATAACAATTAATGTCATTTGCAGGTTTGGCAGTTTAAACTAGTCTAAAAAGTTTCGAAAAATATTAGATATTTTAGAATAATCTGTAATTCTTTTATTTTTAGAAAAAAATGTATTCTGCTTTTCTTCATTTTGCATTTAGCTTTAGCACACTAGCTCCACTTGCAGACAATGTGTGCCACTTATGTATGCTAGAACCATATTCCATGATAGCCTACATTTTATGGTGTTAAAAGTGCTTTTGTATTTTACAACAGTTGTCACTCAATCAAGGTTTTTGATTCCTTAGAAACATAAAGCAAGTTATTAAATCTTGTGAGTCTTACATCCTTCATCTAAGGAATTACTAGAAAAAATGTATCTTCCTTATCGTTTTTTAAAAGTATAAATTTAAAATGATGTACTATTTACGAAGAAGTTTATCACTCATTCATAAATGAGTGCCTGTAAAATTGTCAAGCTTTAACAAATATTACCACTGTCTCCTCTTTGGGGTTTATTCAATAATTCTTTATTATCATTCTTATAAATATTTCTGATATTTTAAGGGAAATTTCAAGGGTATATCCTTTGATCAAAAACTTTTTATGTAAAATTAATCAAACAATGCTTTTACGTTACTTCAGATATTTTCTTCAATAATTTTAAACTACATTACTTGGAAATAGACTGTGGATGAGTATCAACAAGTTGGAAAACAGACAACACTCAGGAAGAAAGTCTACCCAATAAGCTATAATAAAATACACCAATAACACCAATAATACACTCTACAATGAAACTCATCTCAGGTATTACTAACTTTTTGCTTTGCTTTGGGCATCCCAAGGCAGCCATAGAGAAGGTAATGTACATGAGGAATAAAGTGGATGGACAACATTTTAAAAAATGAGGCATATTTAATTACACAAATTCATATTTACATGAATCCATGTGAATAATTTTTATTTTGTTTTGAACTTAATAATATATCTATCATATCCTGGAAATGTCTTCCACTAGTTACATAGGCTAGTTACATAACTCACTTCATTTTATAGATTTAATGTTTTCATGGATATATCAGTTTACAAAATTATCTGAGAGTATCATTTTTAAAGGTCTACCAGAAAAAATAAAACAACCTACCACAAAGGCCTATGATTTAAATAAACATTTTCCAAAAAACCCGTTTTTGTTAAAAATGCCTTGAGATACCATCACTACTATAAACGTGAATGCTTATGATAGAATAATATGTTTGCTTTGATCAGTCTTAGAGCAAAACGTGTTTCTTAAGTTGTATTGGGTATATTTTCTACCAAAATTCTCAAAGCCCATGCTCATGCAAATAGTTCTGTTCAGGCAAATGATCATTATACCCAGTTTCCATATCATTCATACACAGCTAGACACATTTTCTGGTGGGGATTTAAACAATGGTATGGAATTCTGCAGTCTCTCCTATCTATATATTCTTTCACTCTGAATATGTACCCTAAATAATAATTCTTAAACTTCATTTCTTTATACAAATATTATTTTTCTTATGTTGGTGTTTGTAAACTAATACCTGCATACAGGAAATAAAAAAGTGATACAAAAATGGGAGTAGTTATAAGATTGGCACTTCAGGTAGGTAGATGTATGGATAATCATAACTGCAATTATAGAATTATTACATGTTATTTTTTTAATAAGTAAGATAAGTAGCACAATGAAGATATTGTGTTGTTCTGGAAATTTAGAAAATGCTAATAATATAAAAACGTTATAAATGCTTAAGTAGAAAAGAAGAAAACACTGCACATCTAACCATCCTAATAATAATATTTTCCTATGTTTACTTTTCATGCTAGTTGTCATGTCAGTGAGCTTTTATACCTTCCTGTACACATTTAGCATTATTTCAGAAGTCTTTGTTCATGTAACTGCATTCATCATGATGGCACATAATATCCCATCCAGAGAATCATCAAATGAACTGTTTATTATTGCACACTTGTGCTTTTATTTTCATCTTGTGCTAATATTTGTCAATCATTATCTGTAGTTCCAGACATTATACTAACAGCTTCTAGGCTTTAACTTCCATAAGGATTATTTCCAATGATTCCTAGAATAATGCCATGGTGACAACAGAATGCACATATTATTTTGCATCTTCTCTATTATATTTTGAGATTGATGTACCAGAAGCAGAATTACTATGTCAAAAGTTATAAATGCTTCTTGGTTAGATATTGTACAAAAGAGTTGTACTAAGTTCCACATACCAAACAACTTGTACCAAGTTAGAATGCTACTAGGTTTATAAGAGAGCATCTCTTTCAGCCTTTCTTTTTTAATCTAAAATGTTTAGCAAGTTCAAAAATAAAGCTCTGTAAACATACAAATAATTCAGATTAAATATCTAAAGGAAATTTATAGCTACCAGAAGAAAAGATATACATTTTATAAAATTGTTGTATAATTAGCTTCTTTCTTTTTTCTTTTCTTCCTAATCTCAAGCTGTTCATTGATCATGATCATGAGTAGGCACTGTGCAAGATTCAGGGAAAACGAAGATACATAAACAAGGCTGAGGAAATGCCTTCTTATGTCTTTTATATGTATTTCATTATTTCACTCTCGCCACAGCCATTTTACTCTAACCATTTTTTTTCTGATAAAGAAACTGAGACTCAAAATAATAATAATGTGCCAATTACGACATAGCTAGTAAATAATAGAGCAAGACTCCAAGCCTAAGAGTGTATAATTCTATTCCTTTGTAACACTAACATTTAATTTGTACTCTATGGGGGTAGGTTGGAAATTAAATAGTGTTTAATTTTAATATTTTTACGAAGTCTATATTTCTTTTGGCATATGGAATCAACTAATAAAATTTTAAAATAATTTTTATTTTTCTTAAAATTAATACTTTCCTATAAATATATAATTATAAACTTTTATTAAAATTTACAATTTGCCTAAGACTATTTTTCAATATATTTTCTTATGTTTTATCTAAAAGAAAAAATCTTAGCAATGGTATTTTGGAAATGATAACCTTCTATTTTCATCTTATAAGAATAATAAGGTAATTTCCAAGCACTTAACTGTCCAAAACACCAAACAAAACAAAATAAAAGCAATTAAAGTATTTGCGGTTTCAAATTCTCCTTTCTTTAAGTTTCTGTTATAGTAAGTTGAAAATATAAACCACAAACCCTTTTTAAAAACTATGTACAGACAAACAACTTTTTCTTCACCTTTGAAAATGTTGGAACTAACATTTAAAAGAAAAAAATGGATATTTAAGCAAAATTTTACTTTTGTAAGTGCTTGATAAGAATGTGGTTTTTAACTACCTTGTGAAATTTTAATATGGTTAGGAAGAGCTTTTTTCTATGAATCAGCCACATATCATATATTTTATTTTTTCATTACTTTATAACACAAAGACCAAAATCCTGTTCTCTCTGCTATCAGTTAATAAAACATTTCCTGAATTATTTAACTTCCTTACAAATTCAAACCATTTTTATGTTTTTATCATTTTTCTGTCAACAGTCAAATTCCAAAGGGAAACACTATTTATGTTCATGTTTGCTTTTATTTAAAATTGTTTGATTTTAAAAGGTGTAGCAAGAGCAGTGCTGTGTTTGTTTGACTCTGGCTGATATATGTTATTATGGGTTGACTTTGAGTAAATTGCCATCTTGTTTGCTTAGAAAAAGAAAGATAGAGCTAATTGAATGAAAACACCATACAAAGGATTACAACAGTCCATTTTCTTTATTTGAAATATGTCAATGCTGAAATATGAATTTGAAAGTACTATATGTAAAATATAGCAAAGATTAAAATGGTTCTTGAGGATATCTTTTGTTTAAAATATGGTAATTTACATGCGAGAAATCATATTAATTTTCTGTGGCAAGCACATTTTATATTTCAGAAGAAAGTTATTGACTTAATATTTACAGAGGCATTTTTATTGTTTTAAATCATTGCATTATTACAGCTGCTTTAGTCTGTTAATGTTTGTTCATCTTAATCAGAAGCTTGAATAATACATACATTTATCATTAAATGCCCTTATAGTTTGAAAAGTCTTATATTTTCCTACAGTTCGTTTGTTAGGGAAAATGCCTTAATGCTATTAACATTTTTTTAAAGATTTTAAAACATTTTCTATGTTGTCCCTAGATATTCAAAAGCAAGATAAATTATAATGTGATCAAAAAGATAATTGGGCTTTTAAAAATATGTGCAATACTAGTAAAAAATAAATAATACCTATAATAATTTCTATATTATATATACATTTTTGGTTTGTAGCTCAAAATGCATCAATTTAAACAATGTCTCACACATTGTTTTAAGTCACTCATTTTTGCAATACTTTATCTTCTTTTAAAACAAAATAACATTCTATAGTGCAACTTTCTTTAAAACAGAACACTTTGAAAAATCAATTGGTCATTTGCAATGCAAGATATTCTAAACTTATAACATCAGTTTTTCTCCTCTAATTAATTTATCTCAATTAACCAAACAATACAGTCAGTTAGGTAAATTATAGTTTATCATCATTGTATATGTTCCAAATTCAATGCAATTGCTTTTTTAGTTTCTAGACACAGATTGTGAATGAGGGTTTTCCTAGACAAAAGTTGTTCCATGAATGATCTTTTCTCCTTATGTTCCTCTTCGTGTCTTCATGTGGTATTTTAATATCAGGTTTCTTCCAAGCTGGTATTCTGCAGAATGACATTTTTTTTTTTTTCTGACTGATTTTTCCTACCCTTAGATGGATAGGAAATTTTCTTGGAATTAATTTTATTTAGAATTTATTTTATTAATCTGATGAAATTACTTTTGTTTTTCCAAAAGTTAATGATAATGATAGATTAATAATGTATTGTTCCAAATAGTAATATATTTGCATTTTAACCTTTCCTTAGTCCTTGCATAGAATCAAGGTACACTGTAAGGAGAAGTGTTTGGAGGCTGATGAGTCAGTTGTCACTTGTCCTACTCCATTGTCAGGTACTTAGAGGTATTGGTATGGCTGTTGATTTCTTTAGTTTTGAGAGGCAAGTCTCAAAACAGAAATCAGAGTGTGCTGTCGGAAATCTTCAAAACAGAAACTTCATCATGATGAAGTCTTATTCATCATTCATGTATTAACAGCTGTTCTCTCTTCTCACATGTAGTTCTACTTTAGATAGCATCTAAAGCACAGGCAGACCGTATTGTAGAGTTAAAAAAAGATGTCTGTCTTCAACATTTATGATAGTGGGTAAGAAATCCCAAGGTTTGTGTTTTTGTTTTTTTTTTCCAAATGCATTCTGTTAAACAGAGACATGTTCTGGGACACCTTGGTCAAATTTCCCCATATAAGTACAGCATTTTTTTTTATCACACACCATACAATTGGAAACAGATGCAATTAGCTGATGTATATTATGCAAGAATCTGTATACTCAGATTTCCCAGATTATAAATTTCACATGTACATTCACATATGCATAATACATTTTAAAGATTTCTACAAAAAGCCTTTCACCCCCCCAAATTATGTTTACTAAAGAAGAAAGTGAGAACTGTTGCTCTCTTACTCCTCAGTGCCTCATGTCATCGAACGGTGATGTAAACAGTTCCCATGGTCACCACTTCTGTCCCAGGCCATTGAATTGCAAAGGTCAGAATGTCTTCCCATGCCTTGTAAAACAATTGCCTGCAGAGTAGAAAAAAAGTGTTAATGGATCATAAAAATTATTCATACATTCAGAAAAGAAAGAAGTAGCAGCAGAGAGCTCAAAATGAGAGTGATTATATACATTTAAATACACAAATTTAAGCATAAAGAATATAAATTACTCTATGGAATAGGTACTATTTTTCCCATTTTATGGATGAAAAAAAATGAGGCAGCAAAAGTTAAAGGAACTTTCTCAAAGTCATATAAATACTAAGTGGCAGAGGTGAAATATGAATACAAATAATGAGGTAATCTGTTTCCAAAATCTATGCTCAGAAACATTGCACCACATTGCCTAAATAAAGGTACCACTAATAAAAAAGATTGATGACAGTTATTGTGCACTTATTAGTTACAAATCAACTACCTATGTGGCATTTTTTTAAATTTAATTCTCAAGACAAACCAGTGAAATAGATATTATTTCCATTTTACTGAGGAGAAAACTGAGGAAGAGAGATGTTTACTGACATGTTTGAAGTCAAATAGTTTGTAAGGAGTTGAAGCAGAATTTGGGTTCAAATCTATTTGAATCAAGCTTTAAAAGTCTTCATTATTGTCATTGAATGGATAAATAGATAGGTACATGGAAAGATAGATGATTAGATTTATGAGTATGTTTGTACACAAGTACATATGCATACTCCCTGAAATATGGATATAAATGGGTTTATGAATGTATATCATGTTTATGCATTCATATTTGTTTGTCATAAAATAAAAAAGTGAATAATAAAAAAGTGTGGAATAATAATTTAAAAATATTTTACAGTCTGATTTTTATTTTTATTTCAATGAACTAAGTTTATGACTTAGAGTACATGAGATAGTATGGAGAATGGGGGCAAAACAATTGAAAAGTTCAAGCTGTTCCTGGATTTGAGATCTCCCTGGATTTGAGACCTCCCTGAAGATAGGATAAATAATCATTATATTTCTAATGCACATCACAATATATAGTACATAACAGGAAATTAGGGAATATTTGGATTGGTGTGGCCTATTGATGTTATTTATTGAAACACTTTGGAACAAATTCTATAGGCTGAGTTGATAATTTTGATGTGAGTATGCCAAAGGGGCATCAGTTACTATTTCCCTTTTATGAGCTATCTAGAAGCATGAGGAGAAAGTGTGTTCATGGAAACCTCCCTTTAGCCAGGACTTTGGTGCATGCTGGAGTATTTTTCTTAAGAGAAGTCATAATTCTAACTCAATACCTGTCTTTTTTTCTGACTTCTTAACTTACAACTTGTTGCAAATGTTTCTTGTTTAATTCAACTATTATTTATATAAGTGAGAAAACTTAGTTTCAGGAGATAAAAGTTTAGTGATAGTTTCAGGCAGTAAACTTCACAATCTACATGACACTCTATGTGAAGCAAAATGTTTTTCATTTCTAGGAATTATTCTCAGATAATTCATGTGGTCAATATATCTTTAATAACTCCCTAATAGTTACTATTTTTAAAAGTGATTCAACTATAGTATTATGTGAATATATATAACAGCAGTGTTACATATCACTATGTGATATTCACATAATACTATAGCATTTATGATCAATTATATTATTTCATGATCATGAACTAATGTATTTTATAGTTATCAATTCCAAATATTATTTCTTAATGTAGAATTTATTTTCAAGACAAGAGTGCCATAAATTTGTTTTAAGAATATATTCTAGTAACTGGTAGAAGTCATGGTTACATTTTAAAAAATAAACTAAACAAATAACTAGAATAAAGAAAAGGAGAACAACCCGCAATCATAGGGAAGACATAACAGCTAACTTGCACAGGTAAAGCACATCTTTATTACTTGGTGTTGTTGTGATTATATTCAGTTTTTTCATACTGTTAAAGAAGGAAATATTTAATCATAACTTAGAATTAAAAGGTTTATTGTAGATGCTACATATTCAAGTACTAAAATGATCTAACAAAAAGTCACTTACAATAAGGTACACTACTTTTTTAAGATTAATTTTACAAAATAAGCATAGTTATTTATTTAAGCATTTCATAATAAAATATGTTTTAGATTTGGATATTATATGAACAACTATTTTCCTCTTTGAATCCCAGGTGCACAGACAAATGCAACAGATAGAAAGATTAGCAGCATCAGTAAAATTCTACAATGTCAGCACATTGAAGAGGTACTGGTATCTATTTTGCATGCGAGTTCTACAAATCTCTATTTCTTTGAATATTGAACTTTGAGAGAAGCAGCAAAAACCTTTTGGTGTTTATGGGAGGATTTGGGTTCATTTTAAAGATCTCTTAAGAAGAGTGAGAGATTGTTTAAGACTATAAATGTCTTTATTGGAATTATGCTCTTACCCTCATTTATTTTAACAAGATTTGTAATGCATTCTGGCCCTTGATCTCTTAGCTGGAAACACTGCCTGTTGTTCCATTATTCCACCATCCATTTGCAAATAACAATACATCAGAACCTTTTCTTGCTACAGAAACAATGCCCTTTATTTGAGAAAGGACATTGTTTTGACAGATAAAGTAGGCATTTGATAAATTGAAACAGGTTTTGAATTATTTTGAGAGAATGTGTGCTACATCTGTCTGCTGATATTCCACTGAAGTAGTGCTTAACTTCCTTGTCTGTTTGTGATTTATTGAGCTACAGAAAAGGTTAGGAAAATTTCGTGGCTCTTCTCATTTAATTTGTAAGAGAATCAAATAGCATTTGTTAATGTTTATGATATTTAAAAGGCAAAATTACTCCTAAACTTTTATTCACAGTAGACATTGTAGTGACACCTAAAACAAAAGAATATATTAAATGGAATTATTATTCTTACATTAGTAAATTCATGCTGGAGAAATTTTAAAAAAAAAGCACTAATGTAAAATTATTGTCCCAAACCAGTAATTTTAGGTAGCACAGAATTTTAAATTAGATCTTATGCAAAAAGTTTACTTTTGGAATAATGCAGATGTAGCAAGCCATGAGGAAACACCAAATCTACTAGGAGTACATGACAAAAAGAGTTTTGGAAAAAAATATATTAACACCCCATATTCCTTTTTTTACTAAATGAATTTCTAACTTACAGAATTCTTCCTTGAACAATAAAAATTCTTCTTGAAAAGGTAATTATAGCCACAGACAAAAGCTTCCCAATTGAAAAGTCATTTAAATTTATCAGCTTTCATAAGCAGAAAATTTTATAGAGCATTTTCAAATTAATAAATTGTTCCCTCCTAAATACAGAAAGAACACACTACAGCATGCAAAATAGGCTTATTTTGATTTATCATATAGATCCATATTATCTTAAACTTTGCTATCAGCATTCAAAATTTAAAAATCTATTTTTGAAATTATTTTTGAGTCTATATTTCCATATAGTCCTTAAGTTAGTAGAGGTTGAATTATCATCCCCATTCAACAAATAAGGACATTGAGGGAGAAAGGATCAAAGGTCACAGAGTTGTGGCTAAGATGGTATGATGAGAGGTGTTTAATCTCTAGTGCTTCTTTCAGTAGGCCACACCCCCAAGAGCTGCATAAAGTTTAAGAATTACCTGCTTGGCTGGGTGCAGTGACTCATCCCAGTGCTTCAGGGGATCAGGACGAGAGGATCTCTTAAAGCCAGGAGGGTGAGACCAGCCTGGGCAACATAGGGAGACCAGATCTGTTAAAAAAGAAAAAGCATCAGATGCTCTATATGGACACTGTGCAAGCACTGTTAAATACCTGGTGTGCAAAGCACATTGTTGTTTATAGCTTTATGCCAGAAACAAATAAACCATGGTACCCTAAATGTCCTCATTTCTTGAACAATGTTGGTTTCAGGTGTACTTAGTAGCAGAAAAAAAAAAAAAAAGTTTATATTTTCTATTGCTTCTTAAATCATGTCTTATTTTTCTCTCTCTGTTATCAGAATATGCTTTGGCTCTCTTATTCTCTCCTTCCCCCACCCCCATTCTCATACACACGTACACATGATTTTGAATTCTGAATATTCAAAATCCATGGTTAAGCCAAGACAATCTATTGCTAACAATCGAGGCATTGCAAAATTGTTGTTTATTTTCACTTTAGGGGTCACTCCTAAATAATGCATACAATTAATATCTCTGCTGCCCCAATATACAGTCATCAGTGATATAATGACTGATTATGTCAGCCCTTCCTAACTCCAACAAAACTTTTGTATGCATACTGAAAAGCAGGATGTTGGGTGACAGTAGGGCATTTAGTCAGTTAACAAATATTTGTTGAGCAGTAATATGTGTCAAGCATACTTCTAGTTACTGGGAATTCAGCAGTGGCCAAAACACTCAAAAAAATCCTTGTCCTAATAGAACTTAATTCTGAGCTTTTAACAGGTGTAATTCCTCCCCTCATCCTCCTTTCTTCCCTCCCTCCCTCCCTCCCTTCCTTCCTCCTTCCCCTTGTCTCAATTCATTTCCTTTCTTTTCCTTTTCCTCCTTTTATTTACTCACTCATGTATTCATACTAACAACCATTCAATCAGTATTTGCCAGACACTGTGCAAGGCACTACTTCAAGAAATAGCAGCACTGTAGACAGATATAGTGTTTTAAGTACACATGCCATGAATGGAATCTACCTTATTTTCATTTTGTAGGCTAAAATATTATCTATATTCCACAATTACCACCTAATTGTTTCGGTAATCAATTATCAGATATCAATTCATCTGATGAAACTTTTCTAAGTTTGCATATTGTAAAGTGAGAGAAGATGTTATCATGTGATGTGAGAGCACACATATTTTTCTGATAAAATACAATTTGCATAATAATGCACACACACCTCTATTAATTTATGTTTTGCCAGAAATAAATTACATATTACTTCTAATGTAGCTTCTTTACATTTTAAGATCATAGGAGCATTTCATTGAATTCACTGTTTATCTGTTAATATTTGTTTTAAACTTTAAAGTGTAAGAATAAAAGACCCATTCTTATTTTATTTTTCCACTACTATACTGTCCTTTAGAAAAACAAAAATGTGTCTTTATTCACATATGTGCTGCCAAAAAATACAAACCTTTCCTTTCTATGGTCCTATGGCCACTCTTGCTCCTCCTGTCCCCAGTCCCTCTATGCACATCAAGAAATTTATATTTTTATAACCCTATAGAATGCTTTCCTCTTTGTATCACTTTTGCCTATAATGCCTCTATTTCAATGTATCTCATCCTTGGCACTGTTGAGAATTTGGGACAGACAATTTATTATTTTTTCCGGTAGGTGGGGTTAAGGGCTCTCTTGAGCATTGTAGGGTGTGTAGCAGCATCCCTGGCCTCTACCCACCAGATGCCAGTAGCACGGCTACTTACTCACATGCGACAATCAAAAATGTCCCTAAACATTGCTAAATCCCCTCTGAAGTGCCAATCGAATCACTGCTTTTATCTAACGTTGACTCCAATTGGCAACAATAATTCATTCTTTAAGATATACCTTAAATATACATCCTTTAAAGCCCCTGTTCAACTTCAAATTACAAATGAAGACTCTAGGCTTTGTGCTTGCCATGTAAATTTTTTGCTTTTCCTTATTTCTCTTATTTCACTTATTTACTTACTGTTACCTGTACTAGATTACAAGTCCCTCAAGATAAAGAAATAATTTTCTCATTTATTTTATATTTCCAGAGTATAGGACTGAAGCCAGTAAATACTTATTACCCAAATGCATGAAAGAAAACAAATGAATGGGATTTAAAGATGCAGATTGATTAGGTATGAAAGACCCTGTAAACACATTGCTATCTAAGTTCATGGCTGTACTATTTTTAGAAAGAAAATGATACAAAACTGTAAAGTTCTCCACACATGAAAGCAACTGTAATGTACCTACTGATAACCCACTCCTGGACCATTTGTTATGGAACCAACAAATTCAATCAATTTCAATTTGTACTATTTCTGAAGGAAAGGCTTCAAGTTTTCAGGCTATATGAGGCACTATAATCATCTGTGGAAGCGCTTAAACTGCCTTATAGTCTTTCTCTCTGTGGGTATGTGTTTGTAACAGAAATGACCATTGTAGTTATTATGGAGCCTATTGCTATTTTTGTAAGAAATGCTAATAAGGATATAAGAATCCATCTGAACAGCAAATGTGTTCTAGTATAACTGCTAGTTACATTGGCTATTAATAAAATTTGTTTCTGTAATATACCTGTTACAAGAATAATTCTTTTGCACTGTATTTCCATCAAGCATATAAGACAAATATGAACTATCAATTGATAAAACCTAATTTCAAATGTCTTTCTCTTCAGACTAATGTGGAAACTAGAGTTGTAATTATAAATTGCTTGTACATATTAAAACTCTTAGCTCTAATCTTGTATATTTCCTATAAACCATATGATCGTTGGAAGATTTTGTATGTTTTGAACATGTATCCCTATAGCACTTTCTATTTTTTACCAATGTTTTTCATTTTCATAAAGCAACATTTTAGTAATAATTTATAAAGCTTTTCTTTCTTAAACAGCAAGTCAAATGACTCAATTCTATTTCTAAACAGTATTATTTTATGAGAAAATTATTATTATTCTCTCAAATTTTTAAAATTATAATCTTTTTTTTTGCTTCAGCCTTTTAAGGAAAGCTTCTATAATTGGCTTACTTTCAAAGGATATAAAATATGTATTCATTAAGATGTCAATTAAATTTCAGAAATAATTTTGAAAGTGAAAAACAGAACAAGCAAGAATTTTGAAAAATATATTTAGAAACAAAGGCCCTAGTTGTTGCTGAATGAAATGTCAATCTAAATTCCCAAAGATGGCAAGTGGTTTAAATATTAAATTATGTATAAAACACTGTAAAAATAAATATGTACATAACTCATGAAGAATAACAGTACTCAGAATTTAAACTTCATTCAAGGAAACTTCAATAATTAGTCTTGAACTTTCCCAAATGATGACTTTTTGGAAACTATCAGAGTGAGTTTTCTGTCATGCCATTGTTTCTAACAATATCACTTAGTCAAAAGGAAACAAAAATACATTTTGAGAAAAACTGAAAGCTCCATTTTCTTTATAAAAGAGCTGTATTACTATATTTTTCAGAGGGGGGTATGTTAGTGAGGTATTTTTTGGTTTGAAGCTTTAGGGTGAGATACAGCAGGTGGCATTTAGGCTTATCGGTCAATTGGTAGACTCTGGCTCGGTTGTGTGGCTCCTCTATGTTTCCCCACAGTTGCATCTATGTTCCCTCTCAATGCTCTGAAAGTGTGGATTCCTCTCCCCCTTGAGTGCTGGCTGTAGATTGCGGCTTGGCACTCCTGGGCTGCCCAGTGCAGCTCTGAGCGATCTCAGTGCTTATGTTTCTTCCCCAGATTGGAAGAAGCAGATGAAGGGATCTTAATAGTGTTGTGTCCAAAGGTCCTTTGTTTGTCCCCTAGGGGTTCCACCCCAGGGAGATGCAGGTCAGCAATCGCTCAGTGCAATCAGCCCAGGATGGAGGGTCTGCTGTGGGCCCAAGCCAGGAGTTCCCTGTCTGGTTACTAGTGGTTGATTTGGGTGGAACTGGCCTCCTCTCCTAGGGTCGACCGCAGCTTGTTAGAGGTATGAATAAGGCCTTTGGGGTCTTTGCTCCTTTGTTAGTCTGAGGATGGCAAGGGCAGTTCCACTGCAGAGGCAGTGGCAAAGAGGCTTTCAGTTGACCCTGGAGGTTTTGTCCAGGGAGTTGCCAAGTTGCTACTGGCTTGGTAGCCCTGGAGGCGGGTAGCTGGGCCCCAGGCCCTCAAGGACCTGACCTGGGAGAAGATATGGGAACGGCTTCTCTCATGTAAGAGTCTGACCACTTTTCTGTAGATCTGCTGTGGTAAACTTGTAGCCTACTCCAGTCCCTAGTCACCTTGGATTTTCCAGAACCTGGAGGTGTCACCAGTGGAGGCTGTGAAACAAACAAACAAACAAACAAATGTCAGCCTCTCCCTCCCTCTGGGAGCTTTGTTCCAGGGAGGTATGGTCCTGTTGCTAGCCCAAAGGCACCTGTAGGAAGTGGCTGGAGACCTCAGTTGAGAGGACCTGCCCAGTGAGGAGGAGCGGGATAAAGGTCCCACTTAGGAAAGTAGTGTGGCCAGGTTTTGGTACAGCAGCTGTTCTGTGCAGGGAGTCCGCTTCAGCCCCTGGTCACCTCAGACACTCCAAGGCCCAAAGGCTAGAATGCCTAAGTTGCTCAAACAGCAAAGATGGTGGCCCACCCTCCCTCTGAGAGCTCTGTCTCAGGGCGGTTACAAATCTCTGTTGGCTGGAGAACACCGATGGGGGTGGCTGGATGCCCCAGTTGAACGGTCCTGCCCAGTGAGGAGGAATGAGACCTGCTTAAACAATCAGTATGGCCACCTTTTGGCAGAACAGCTGTGCTGTGCTGGGGGATCCTTTCCACCCACCCCATCAACCCCTTGGCTCACACTCTCCAGTGCTGGGAGATCCTTTCCCTCCCTACCAACCCCATTGGCTCAGACTCTCCAATGGCCAAAGGCTGAAATGACTGTCTCCCAAACAGCAAAGATGGTGGCCTGCCATTCTTTCTAGAGGTGCTGTCCCAGGAAAAATTCAACTGGAGAACTAGTTCTCCCTCAGCTGGAGAACTAGCATCTGTAAGGAACTTAAACAAATTTACAAGATAAAAACAAGCAATCCCATTAAAAAGTGGGCAAAGAACATGAACATACACTTTTCAAGAAAAGAAGATATACACGGCCAAGAAGCACGTGAAAGAAAGCTCAATAGTGCTAATCGTTAGAGAAATGCAAATAAAAACCACAATAAGATACCATCTCACACCAGACAGAACGGCTATTACTAAAAAGTCAAAAAATAACAGAATCTGGCAAGGTTGTGTAGAAAAGGGAATGCTTATACGTGGTCATTGGGAGTGTAAATTAGTTCACCCATTGTGGAAAGCAGTGTGGTGGTTCCTCAAAGAGCTAAAAATAGAACTACAATTCAACCCAGCAATCCCATTACTGAGTATATACCCAAAGAAATATAAATTACTCTACCATAAAGACACATGAATGCATATGTTAATTGCAGCACTATTCCAAAAGCAAAGACATGGAATCAATCTAGGTGCCCATCAATGGTGGATAAAAGAAAATGTGGTACATATACACCATGGAATACTATGAAGCCATAAAAAAGAAGGAGATCATATCCTTTGCAGGAAACGGAGCTGGAGGCCATCATTCTTAGCGAACTAAAGCAGGAACAGAAAACCAAGTTCCACATGTTCTCACTTGTAAATGGGAGCTAAATTATGAGAATTTATGAACACAAAGAAGGAAAGAAGAGACACTGGGGTGGGAAAGGAGTAGAATAGATAACTATTCTTATAAGGTACTGGGCTTAATACCTGGGTGATGAAATAAACAACAAACCCCTGTGTTTACCTATGTAAGAAACTTTCACATGTATCCCCAAACCTAAAATAAAGGTCTATATATGTAAATATATGTATACATACATACACATATATCATATTATTTAGAAGTAGAGACTGTATTCAATAACTTCATTTCTAAAGTTTCCTTCATTAGATGGCCAGAAGCTCTTTTAGCCAACTAGAATATTTAGTTCCATTTAAAATATCCTCTTTTTTTTTTTTTCTTTTTTGGTGGCAATTGCCATTTGCTGGACCTTGAGTATATCAAAGATGGGTGATTTCAGTTGTCCCTGAAACTGGATACCAAATTACACAATGTTTGTGCCTACTTGTTGCCCTCTTTCTGAAAAGAAAAACATGCCTGCCTAAATATTCTTAAACTGTGAAGGATCTTGGAGACATTTTATGCATTATCTATTTTGTGTACAAATTCCATTTCCAAATGTCTTAACTCCAGAGATGGAAAGCAATTTTTTACATTGCTGGACAATTCTAAATGTTAGAGATTACATCTTATGTTTAAAATATGCTTCTACTGCCTGTTATTGGATCTTTCACGTAGAACACAGTGAAATCGCTATTTTCTTTCATCCTAACACCAAATAACAATTGTAACTGATTTTTGATTGAATCGATCTGTCTCTTTGCATGAAGAGGTTTATTTTGGGGGTATTGTAGGGAACGACATATTGTTATACATCAGGGTAAAGTGAGAGGAGTACTAATTGTGTAGTGTATTATGGTTCTTATTGCCTAAATTTGGCTGTCTACACATATAATTCATAGGAATTAGAACCTCTTACGTCCAGGTGCAGAAGATTGCTGTAAACCAGGTTTCACAGTAAAATAACACTGATGATTTTATATTAACTCCATTTTACTTCATATTAGCTTTCGGTCCACGATAACTCCTCTGGATAAAATGTGGCATTTTCTAACTTTCCCATTCATAAGTCTTGCTATTTTAGAATAATGGCACCTGGACCTTTATTAACTCTGACTATATATATATATATATATATATATTCCCCAGCAATTTTTTTATATATATATTTTTATATATATATATATTTTATATATATATTTTATATATATATATAATTATAGAATGAGATCACTAAGACTTCAAGTTGCTGGGGAATATTTTCCTCCTCTTTGTCTAAGGACAGATTAACAGTTGATCCATTGTTTTGTAACTTTGCAAAGTGTATTTTTGCAAAGAGTATTTTTGAGCGTACATTCTCTTGTACTTCTCTTATCCTTATTAGCTGTGTGAAATTTATTACATTATCAGAGTTTTTAAAGTTTCAGTTTTCTTAGCTATGAAATATGGAACACAGACACAGACATAAATTCTACAAGACATGAATTAAAACAAATACATGTAGAGATTAATATGCCCCTTGTAAAATGTAACATGCAAAATTTTAGAAAATTCTTTATATTTATAAAATAAATATGTATTAAAAGACATGTAAGGGTGAGATCTACACTCCTCAGTATGCTGCTATTTAAGGAACTATAAGAAAATAGGATGAGCAATGTAACCCCAGCCTGTAACCCCAACACTTAGGGAGGCCGAGGTGGGCGGATCACTAGGTCGGGAGTTCGAGACCAGCTTGGCCAACATGGGGAAACCCCATCTCTACTAAAAATACAAAAATTAGCAGGGCTTGGTGGTTCTACTAAAAATACAAAATTAGCCTGGTGGCGGGCACCTATAATCCCAGCTACTCAGGAGACTGAGGCAGGAGAATCGTTTGAACCTGGGAGGTGGAGGTTGCAGTGAGCGGAGACTGTGTCATTGCACTCCAGCCTGGGCAACAGAACGAGACTCAGTCTCAATTCAAACAAACAAAAAACAAAACAAACAAACAAACAAAAAAGAGAATATCTTTAGCTAGTTTCTCAAAGCCCTCTAATAAAATGGCTTGGCAAGATTTGAACTCTTCTGGTCATTCACATCCACATTATTTATCCATGTCTTGATGAATGACGTGGCCATATTTCTTCCCTGCGTGTGCTTCCCTTGCTCTTCCTCTCTTCCAAAGATACACTCAGATGCCATGAAAAAGTCACTATGAAATTAGGACAAAAGTCAACACAGAGTAGGTCCAGTCGCCGTATGTTCTAAGCAGGCCATAGCCATACCTCTGGATCTATGAATACTCAAACAGCACAGCTTCCCTAGGCATTCTCAAACATCACAATATATGTACACCTATTATTTTTGCTTTTTGGTAAATGTCCAAAGGACTGACCTGCAAACTTCTCTGATTCTTAACACACACAAACACAGTCATAGAAGCAATTAAACACATCAAGGACACAAATAATCTCAAAGAACAGGCCTCTTGGGCTTTCTATATACAGCGCATTCTCCATTCTTGGTCTCTAGTAATTGCCAATGTGTTCACTCTAGTTTGTACACTACTTATTTCTCTAGTGCTAGAGCATATATTTCTCAAAAATATCCTGAACTTTTAATAGACTTCTCTTTCAGTGACTGATATGCAGAATAAATTCTCAAGGGCATATTCTAATTTTGTGTCCACTTTATGGGATGAGATAGTGGGAGGTAACTTTTAATTCTGCATGAGAATACATGACTAAACTCATTATAACTCCGGGAGACTTTGATATCTCCCTTCAGGAATGAGGATACTTTTTCTTAAAAAGATTTTATAAACAAAGTTGACTCTTTAACTCAACTTCTGAGAAGGGAAATTTTTTAAAAAATCAACTATAATTTTGATAGCAGTAACTAAGCTGGGCACAGTGGTTCCCAGCTGTAATCCCAGCCCTTTGGGAGGCCAAGGTAGGCAGATCACCTGAAGTCAGGAGTTCAAGACCAGCCTGGCAAACATGGTGAAACCTCGTCTCTACCAAAAATACAAAAATTAGAGTGCACACCTGTAGTCTCAGCTACTCGGGAGGCTGAGGTGGGAGAATCTCTTGAACCTGTGAGGGAAAGTTTCCAGCGAGCCGAGATTGCACCTGCACTCCAGTCTGGGCCAGAGAGTGAGACTCCGTCTCAAAAATAAATTAATTAATTAAATGAATAAAAATAGCAACAACTAAAATTAACCAAAGTGAATTTGTTGATGTATTAATGTAACTGGTGTGTTCAAAAGAAGAATCTGGCTTGAAAAAATACTCAAAGTGTGTCTTCAAAGATATGTAATATTGTCCCTTCTCTCTCTCTTTCTCTCTCTCCATTTCTTAGCTCTGCTATCCTCTGTGGTAACTTCATTGCTTCATTTCTGGGCAAGCTCTCTGTGCAGTGGCTAATATGACTATCTGCAGACTTACACTTAACATTTTTCTTCCAACTAGTAGTCCCAAACAAAAGAAAGTGCCTCTTTTCTGATAGTTTGAAGAAAAGTTTCTCACAAAGTTTCTCCATTTCTAACTGTGCTTAGATGATATAGATGATGATGGTCTATGGAGATAGATATTAATAATGATTTGAGGCACTTTTTCATTTTCAGAGACTTTGAGTATGCACACATTATTTGTATACACTATATGCAAAATCAAACACCATAGACATATAAAAGCAACATTAAAAACATAAAGGCTAAATATTATATATACTTCAAGGCTAAGGAAATTGTCAATGAAAGCTGTATAATGTGTCCCTGGTCACATAACTGATTGGTAGCATAGTCAGAATTGAAATGTTGGTCTCTTAATAATAATCTTATCTGAGAAGAAGACACTATTTAGTGTGGAGGCCAGGATTTTAGTGGCTGTTAGAATTTGCTATTAATGGCATTATTTCTGACTTATATGCAAACCTGATTGTGTGAAGTAAGAGACTTGAGAAAATTAAGAATGTGTGGATTAGAGGAGCTTGAACAAATGGAATGATACACCCTACTCCAAGGTGAGTAAACTCTGGTCTCATTGTGTTTTCTTAGTATTAGATTCAAGTAGTTATTAGCTAGCTATGAGATAAAAGAAAACTTCATTTTTCAAGTAAGGAATATGTGATTTTTGTTTGTTTGTTTATTTATTTATTGTTTATTCATTTGCTTTCCAGTTGGATAGAATTTCTTGGGCTGATTTTACTAGCTGTCTTTCACAGACTTATGGGAGTGAGAGTAGGAAGTAACCATGAATGTAAAAGTTTGCAAATGCTAATGTATAATGGATGATAATTTGATTTTTGAGGAATTAAATAAGCTGGAGAAATGACTTTTTAAAAAGATGAATAACTGTGAGAAGAAAAGATTATAATTATTACTTAAAGTATGTTGACACAAATTTTTTTCAACCACTGCCCTGGATATATTCCACCAACTTAATAGAATTAAAAATATCTTGGAGCCACAAGAGGTGTTAGAGATGGTCCGTCCAGTCCACACCACTTTGACAGCAAGATATCTGTCCAACAGCTGTTAAAATGGAGCCTTGGTTGAGGGATAGGGCCAATGCTAACATACTAGCTTTGCAGTTCCCACAAAACAATTTAAGTTTATCATAATCATTGATGCCAATTTGGAAACATGGATGGGGAATAATGTGATATCAGGAGGTCTTTAGTAAAAAGACCCTGTGGTATTTGCTAGTCAAAACTTTTGGAGGAACACCATTCTCCCTTGAAATACTGACTAATAATTTTCAAAGACATTGAAGAGAGTATGAAATTCAGAGACTTAGGAAAATATGCAACATGTGCCTATGTCCAATGTCTTCATATTACTAAACCCATCAATTTATAATTAATTCAAAACTGCAAACCTCTGGATTCACATATGTTGACTGGCTCTAAAATAAGTACCTGAGCAATATTGTAATGGGGATAGATGCTTTAATCATTACATACAGTGATAGTCTCTCTGTGATAAAAAAGGCTAAACAATAAGATGGTTTGTAAAAGTTCCCCATCTGAAGGGTACTCAGATATTTTGAAGCAAGAGAGTTACTTTGATAGTTGGTTTCTAGAATAAATAATATAAATTGCTTCTCTTTCATTATTTAATAGAAACGGGACTTCTAACATTTAATATTAATAAACGTTCTGAAAGCTCTATTCCCAGAAAAGAACCACTGAAGCTAATACAAATAGACATTCGGTTATATACTTGAAAACCATACTAGGATTCCTCCTTCTCATTGATCTTCAGGATGGTGTCCCAAATTTAATGAAATTTGGCTATTGGTTAGCCATAATGAAAAGGTAGGTATATTCTCATGCTATATGCCTCAAGGTAAAATAATTCAGAAGATGATGACCAGCAAATATTTGTTTAATAATTGAATACCATATTATTTCTTTGTTTAAAGGAAAGAACACCTGTTGTGTTATTAGTCAACTATAGCTGTTTTCGAAAGATTTTTTTAATATGAAGCAAAATTACACCAAAACATTTACTGCATCTATACTAATATTTTAAATCACTGAGTGTATCTCTCATCGTGGAATCAAATACCATTCTCATCATTTAAAATAACCCGTAAGAATTTGATAAATGGACCTGGAGACAATTGATTATCCTGATGAAAAAATGTAATAAAATTGGATGACTGGCATGCCCAAAAATATATTCCAAGTAAATTATAAACCAAAATACAATAAGTAAAATTTAAACTTTCAGAAGAAAATATAGGTTAACCTTGTTTTAGCCTTATGAAAAAAATATAGACAAAATACAAATAGCATGATCTCTTGTCCCAGCACTGCCAATCTTTAGTCTCCTTCATATTTTCCATAGCACTTAACTTCTTCTTGTATATTACAAAATTTCCTTATTTGTGTTGTTTGTTGTCTCTTTCTTTCTGTTAGAATGCAGGCTCCATCATGAAAGGACTCTTTGCCTCTTCTATGCTATAATGTTTCTAAGCACCCAAACCTGTAACATTCTGTAATTTTTTGCCTCTTACAAGATAACAAGGAAACTCATGGCAGAAGACACAAGACTCTTAAGTCAGAGACTAAGGACTTACTACTCATAGCACTGCATACATCTAGAACATGAGCTTATTTGTTTATGTCTGATTCCTCTTACCCCCACATTCCATGGAGTACCGTGGTATGGGCCCAGGTATATCCTCCAAAGAGTGATTTTTGTATCGAAGCTAAGAAACCTAGAGCTTAGAAAATCTGTTTCTTCTATAATGAGTGATAAGCAAGCCTCCATTTTGTCTAGAGAGAGACATTACCTCATCCTTTCAAGTTACTTGTTGCAAAGGCAACCCTGAGGAACGGGCTTTGTAAAGAGCAATCCAGAACTTGTATTTTTGTCTATATATTAAAGATGTGCAACAGTGCTCAGAGGCCATGGAGGATTGTCTTATCCAACAGACCTGTGTATGGAACATAGTATAAACTAAACAATCATTAAAAAATACAAATCAATAAATAGATTGATAAATTTGCATATATTAAACTTTAACAAAATCTATAAAATAAATAACATTGCCAAGTGTAAGATAAGCAAAGACTATTCAAATATATTTGCAAAATATTAGT